>NC_000010.11:767575-919090 GCF_000001405.40 Homo sapiens
CCTGAGTCTTCAGCTGGAAACCATATGCTCATGACCAAGGCAAAACTCCTTAGTTTGCAAACAGCAAATTCCAGGGAAAGAAAAGGCACTGGGGAGCTATAAGGGAAGCAACGTCCAGAGCTCACAGGTGAGGAATCATTTACATCCTCCATGGCTAGGAGGGAGAGACTGTGTTGAGTCCATTGGCCGTCAGTAAACTGCCTTAGTAGTGAGCCTAAACTAGTTCTATGGGAAAGACTAACTTAGACCTGCCTTAAAACAGCTTAAAAACAAGACTTGAAAAGATCAAGCAGGACTGAAAATAACTTCAATAGTTTTTAAAGAAATACAAGAAAATCTAGAGTCTGAAAATCTAAAATTCACATTGGCTGGCATCTAAAACAAAATTACCAGACATGCAACAAAGCGAGAAGATGTGAAGCCAAATCAGTCAATAGAAACAGACCTAGAAGTGACAGAGATTACGGAGTTAGCACACAAAGACTTAAAATAGTTATTATAGATGTGTTCAATATTCTCAAGAATATAATGAGGAGAGAAAAATGCAAGATATAAAAGATAGAAAAAGAACTAAATGAAAGTTCCAGAGATGAAAATTACAATAGCTAAAACAAAAATTCTATTAAATGGTATTAACAGCTAATTAGACATTGATGAAGAAAAGATCAGTGAACTTAAAGGCACAGCAAAAGAATCTATCCGAAATAAAGCACAGAGAGAAAAACACTGAAAACCTGAGCAGAGGCCTCAAACACCCAAGGCTACATCACGTGGTCTAAATGTGTGTAACTGGAAGCCTAGCTTGGGGATGGGGGTGAAGAGAAATTTAATGGTGCAATTTTCTAAATTAAAAAAAGCATATAAACCTAGAACCCAAAAACTCAATGACCCCTCAGGGATAAATACAAAGAAAATCATACCAGGACATATTATAATGAAAATACTCAAAACTCATAATAAAAAACCAAAATCTTAAAAGTAGCCAAAGGGCTGGAAATGATGGTTCATGCCTGTACTTTGGGAGGCCAAGGTGAGTGGATCACTTGAGGTCAGGAGTTTGAGACCAGCCTGGCCAACATGGCGAAACCCCATCTCTATTAAAAATACAAAACTTAGCCAGGTGAGGTGGCACATGCCTGTAATCCCAGCTACTTGGGAGGCTGAGGCACGAGAATTGCTCGAACCCAGGAGGTGGAGGTTTCAGTGAGCCGAGATCACACCACTGCACTGCAGCCTGGGTGACAGAGTGAGACTCTGTCTTAAAAAAAAAAAAAAAAAAAGTAGCCAAAGAATAAAGACACAGAAAGCACAGATTAAAATGCAAACTTCTGTACTTTGAAAGTCTCCATTAAGAAAATGAAAAAGCAAGCCCCAACCTGGGAGAAAATTTCTGACACAGGACTTGTACCTGGAATATGGAAACAACTCTTACAACTCAATGATAAGACAAACAACTCATTTTTTTAATTGGGAAAAATATTTGGACACTTCATAAAATATACAAATTGCCAAAAAAAACCAAAATATGCTTAACATTATGCAGATTAATCACATGCAAATGAAAACCACAATGAGAGACTACTGCACACTGCTAAATGGCTACGATTTAGAAGACTGACAACACCAAGTGCTGATGAGTATTTGGAGCAACCAGAATGCGTGTATGTTGTTGAGCGCTTTCATTTAAATTGGTAAATATAACGGCAACTGATACTCAATCCTGGATTGAACAATGTGTGCGAGACTTGGAGAACTGGGAGAGCAGGTCAATAAGGGAATCCACACAATGAATGGAACATTTCATTGTAAGAAAAAAGGACGGCTGGGCACGGTGACTCACGCCTGCAATCCCAGCACTTTGGGCGGCTGAGGTGGGTGGATCACCTGAGGTCAGGAGTTCGAGACCAGCCCAGCCAACATGGCAAAACCCTGTCTCTACTAAAAATACAAAAATTAGCTGGGGGTGGTGGTGCAAACCTGTAGTCCCAGCAACTTGGGAGGCTGAGGCAAGAGAATCACTTGAACCTAGGAGACGGAGGTTGCAGTGAGCGGAGATCATGCCACCGCACTCCAGCCTGGGTGACAGAGCGAGGCTCCATCTCAAAAAGCAGAGACAGCTGCAGACAGAATGTTTGTGTCTCCCCAAAATGCATACACTGAAATCCTCACCCCGGAGGGGATGGTGTTTGAAGGTGGGTCCTTTGGGAAGAGATTAGGTCATGAGGGTGGAGCCCCTGTGAATGGGATTAGTGCCCTTATGAAAGAGGCCCCAGAGAGCTCTCTCTCCCCTTCCACGATGTGAGGATGTGTGAGGCAGGAAAGCATTGTCTACAAACCAGGAAGCAGGCCCCCACCAGACACTGATTCTGCCAGTACCTTGGCTGCCAGCCTCTAGCACTGTGACTGTTGTTTACAAGACACCCAGTCTATGACAGCGGCCCGAATGGACTCACACAAAGATGTAAATATAACATTTAAAACAGTAAAAACCCTAGAATGTTAAATGTGCGTTGGAAATATTAGCATACACATATCATCTTTTTCCCTAACTCTGGCCAGTGAACGGCCTGGAAGCAGCAAGAGGGCAGAGGCAGCCATCCCACACTCAGGCTCCGGTTGCTGGACACCAACCCCTCGGCAGAAGCCAGGGCTCAGAGGAGGTCAGAGGAGGATGGCCAGCCCAGGACAGGGGCAGCGGGGAGCTGGGGCTCAGAGGAGGATGGCTAGTCCAGGACTGGGGCGGGAGGAGCTGGGGCTCAGAGGAGGATGGCAGGTCCAGGACAGGGGCAGCGGGGAGCTGGGGCTCAGAGGAGGATGGCTAGTCCAGGACTGGGGCGGGAGGAGCTGGGGCTCAGAGGAGGATGGCAGGTCCAGGACAGGGGCAGCGGGGAGCCGGGGCTCAGAGGAGGATGGCAGGTCCAGGACAGGGGCAGGGGAGATGCAAGATAAGCCCAAGGACACCTTTGTGTCCTGGAAATCAAAGAAGCTGCAAAGGCCAGTTAGACTAAGAACAGAGGCACCTCTGGGAAGTGGGCTCCGCAGCCAGTGATGGGAAGGCTTAAGGTCAAAAGGAAGCATGACTGTATTGACTGAGACATGATCTAACAAAACATGCGTTCACGCCATTAGTTTAAAAATAAAAAGCAAAACACAAAGAATAAGACAAAAAATCTTATTTGTTACCATTGGAGGTAAATTGGACACCAATTTATTATACTCAGAAAATTGGCAATGAAAAGGAAAAATGTTAAAACTTTCTTTCTGAACAATCCTAATTTAATATTAAGGGAATATTCTTTTTAAAGAGGAATTCCAGATAATAAATAGAGAAAGACTGGAGAGCTAGAGCATCACGGGATTGTAACCCCCAGTGAAAGAACGGATCTGTGCAAACATCATCACTGAGTCACAAAATGAACGCCCGGACGGGAGCTGCAAGGAGCCCTGTAAGAGAAGCCTGATGTCACTGATCAATGTTAGAGTCGCGGCTGAAGTTGGCCGATGTCTGTGCATCCTCATGTGAGAGGAGGTAAAGTATCCTGCACCGCCTGTGAAAGATTCCCTCTCCGCTACACTGCACCTTCACGGCTGCCGTTCAGCTTAGAGGAGACAGGGGCATGTAGAAGCCAGCCCAACAGCACCACGCAGCCCCCTGTGTTAGCTAGCTCTGGACACAGCCATGCTGCGTAACAAATGACCCTGAAATTGATGATGGTCTGTCACACCCGCAGGAGTGAGGGGAGCCCCGTAGCTCTGTGGCTGTCTCGTTTTGAGCCAAGCTGTGCAGGGGCCACAGAGGAAAGCTCCAGGAGAAGGGGAGGCACCTCCACCCACCCTGGGTCAATGCAAGTCACCGTCCAACCAGCCGTGCTGGGGCAGGAAACGTCCTTCTCCTACAGAGCCTGAGGGCAGGGAGAGAATTATTTGCTAAAAAATATCCTACATACCTCATCCATAGATAAACCCAGAAGGTGGAACATTCCGCAGGACAATTGACCCAGTTCCTTCAAGTCAAAGACAAGAAAAAAAACTGTGGAACAGAGAGACAGCTCCCGAGACTTCAGAATCATGTCCTTTACAGGGACATGGATGAAGCTGGACACCATTATCCTCAGCCAACTAACGCAGGAACAGAAAACCAAACACCACACGTCCTCACTTATAAGTGGGAGCTGTACAACGAGAACACGTGGACACAGGGAGGGGAACACCACACACCGGGGCCGATGGGAGGGGTGGGGTGGGGGGAGGGAGAGCATCAGAATCAATAGCTAATCCATGTGGGGCCTAATACCCAGGTAATGGCTGATGGGTGCAGCAAACCCCCATGGCACAAGTTTACCTACGTAACAAACCTGCACGTCCTGCACAAGGATCCCGGGACTTAATAAAACTAAAGACTTCAGAGACAACACCAGACCACACGGCTCTTCATGGGGTCTTGATGGGAACTTGCAAACACACAAATTTCCCCAGTTCTGAAGCAACTTGGGAAATTCCTCTGTGGACTGTGCTTTCCCTCATGCCAAAGACCAATCAAACCTTTACCTCTGACGGTTTTCAAAATAATGATGAAGGCGTCATTTGCAATGTGCGTTTAAAACAGCCGCCTGGCCGGGCTTGGCAGCTATGGAAGCTGCAAAGGGAAGGTGCCTGGGAGGTGGGGAAATGGAGGAGGGGCTGCCCCGGGACCCCAGCCAGCTTCCTGCCCCTCCCGGCGGCCGCTGCCCAGGGGCTGGGCTGCTTGCGAGGAGGGAGGTCACGGAGCCCCACGTTGCTCACCTGCTCACTGCCTGCAGGCCGAGGCCACCATCAGACTCCACCTCTCTCCCTGTTGGGGCCACTTGGGGCAAGTGGGTTGGCTGGGGCTTGGCCTCCGCCACGCCTCCAGAGCAGGGCTTCCCTGGCCCACCTGTGCGCAGATGGGTTCCAGGTGAGGACGGCCAGAGTGTGGAAATGGCCCTGAGGCCCCACAGGTGTGACTGGGAGAGAAGCGGACAGCCAGGCCTGGTGGGGCCTTGGGGGTAGTAGACGCTGGGACCAGCTCACTGCACAGATTGGGGCTGAAAAGAGGGGCTGGGTCGACGCCAGGCTGTCAGCGTAAAACACATCAGATTTCCGAGACTTGGCGGCAACACCCCCCAACAAAATACCTCATTAATGATTTGTATACTGGTTACATGTTGAAATAATACTACGGATATAGTGGTTTAAAATATTTTATCAGAATTTTATCTGCTTCTTTTACTTCTTAACCATGGCTACGAGGAATCTAAAATTACATGGGTGTCTTCTTCTTCTGTTTGTCCCGGGTGCTGGTGGCCGGCTGGGAGGATGAGATGGAGCAGACCCACCGTGGATTTCAGGCGGGGGTCACTGGGCCCCCTGCTCCTTGCCATTCATGGAACGGTGACTCAGCAGGTGGGGCGAGGTGAGGACACCCCTCAAATTAGTGTAGGCACTCAAGGTGGGACCATCCTGCTGAGGGTGACGCAGTCTCTGAAAAGATCCTAACAAGGTGGAAAGACTGACTCTGCCAAGATTTTTTTTTTTTTTTTTTTTTGAGACGGAGTTTCACTCTTGTTGCCCAGGCTCGAGTGCGATGGTGCAATCTTGGCTCACTGCAACCTCCGCCTCCCAGGTTCAAGCGATGCTTCTGCCTCAGCCTTCCAAGTACCTGCGGTTACAGGCACATGCCACCATGCCCGGCTAATGTTTGTATTTTAGTAGAGACAGGGTTTTGCCGTGTTGGTCAGGCTGATCTCAAATTCCCGACCTCAGGTGATCTGCCCACCTCGGCCTCCCAAAGTGCTGGGATTACAGGCGTGAACCACTGCGCTCAGCCTGGCGAGATTTCATTTTATTGATAAATGTAAGTTTTTGCACTGAACTAACCCCAGACTTCACTAACGTGGGTAGGAAGACATGGCTCCTAGGTGTAGACGCAACCCCCAGGGCTCTTGGACGGAGATCACGTGGAATCCAGAGTCCAGTGACTTTGGCAGTAACTGAAATGGGATATTTAATATTCACGCATTTATTTCACAAATGATCCCAGTGTGCCTGTGTGTGCCTGGGCCCCGGCAGCGGCCAGCCTTGCCCTGGAACACAAATGACTCACAGAGAGGGACGGGTCACGCGGAGAATAAGCCAGGAGCTGATGCGGGAGGAGACGGGTCAGAGGTGCTTTCCCTGGCAGGAAGAGCCAGGCCCCCCAGAACTCCTAGAGCGCCCTGAGATCTTCGGGTTCTGATGGTGGCAGGTTCTGCTGGGGCGGGTGGTGGGCCCTGCTAGGGAGGGTGACGGGCCCTGCTGGGGAGGGTGGCGGGCCCTGCTGGGGAGGGCGGCAGGCCCTGCGGGAGCATGTGAGCAGGGACATGATGGGGTCGCGCATTTTGCAGGGAAACCAGCCTCTGGCTGCTGCAGGGGTGCAGGAGGCGAGAGGGTAGGGGCTGGGCCAGGCGGGTGGCGGTGTGTTGAGAAGCTGGGTACACGTGCTCCAGACGATGGCCGTGTCCCCGTGCCCCCGAGGCAGGAGGGCCTGTCTGATGTCGAGGTGGCTGCAAGGTGTGCCCCAGTGATTCGGGGACATTCTTGGATGGACAAAGGTTGGCTGCAGCCCTGAGTTTCAGAAAACTGCTTTTTCCTCCAACTCCAGTTATTCATTTTAGAAAGTAGAGCTGGGACTGCCGGGCAGCGTCAGCATTGAAAATACCATAGAGCTGGGACTGCCAGGCAGCGTCAGCATTGAAAATACCAGGTATTAAAGATGGAGTTTTAAAAACGAGCGAATGGAGGTGCACCCCGGAAATGCAAGCATAGATATCACCCTCAGCAGGCAGGGGGTCACTTTCCCTGAACAGGGGCAGAGGCCCATGCTGAGGAAGGAGGGCCGGTGGCGAGGCCCAGCCCTGCGCAGGGCCAGGCTCCACACTTCCCCTGCCAGCGAATCCCTCCAGAGCTCACCCAAGTCCAGGTTCGTCTCTGGGGGCTCGTGGTGGGGCTGAGATGCTGGAGGTGTCCTGAGAAACGAGGCTGGAGGCTGCAGTCAAGGTTTGCTAAAGAGCGAAGGGGCAGGAAGTTTTGCATAATCTCGATGATTATTTTTTCCCCTCAAGATGCTTTTGTGTCCTGGGGCAAACCCTGGGCACTGGCCCTAAGTCTGGCCCTGACTGGAGGTTGGGAGTAGAGTTTGTTAACACTGAAGCTCTTTCCGAAACGTTTGCCCAAGGCCCCAAACAGAAACTTTGCCGCCGCTTGGGCAGGTGCAGCCACACCTGGAGACGGGCCATGGCGCTGTGTCAGGGTTAGGGTCACCGCGCTCGGGGCCGTCAGCATGCACGCCATCACGCCGCTCTCTGTCCTAACCACTGGCCTCCCCAGATCCCCGAGACTAACCCGTGGACAGGGACTATGCTCCCTGTGTCTTTAAAGATAACAGTGAGACATGGGTGTCATAGTAAGCTATTTAGTCTCTTCAACTTGCTCATTTCAGTTCACAAAAGAACCAACAGAAACGGAGACATCACCTTCACACGGGAGAAGTGCGCTGAGCACTTCCTCTGAGCCAAGGATGAAGGTCCAAGCACTCACACCCTCGCCATCCCCCGACGGGCAGGGTTTGCTGCCACAGCCTCAGTGACCCACTCAGGAACTGATGGAAGCGGTCAGCTGTGCCGGCCACACCTACACCCCAGAACCCCCCAGTACCGCCTGCGAGAGGAGACGTTTTCTACAGTGGCCTGGGTCCCATTCTTTCTGAAGTCTCTCCCTCTCCAGCTCTGGACTGCATCGTCGCCCACAGAGGGGATGCTTCTTATCCGGTGGGAGGCGAGGAGGTCCAAGGGTCCTTCGTCAGGAGCCTGTGGCCAGCTTTCCACGCATCTGTGATGCCCGGCCTCAGCCCCTGTGTCCAGCGTGAGGGCTGGTGGCTGTGGAGACGGATCGCACGCTGGGTTTAGAGGCGCCAGCCGCTGGCAGCGCCGGTGCCACAAGCCCTCCTGAGATATTGTTGGAAGAGAGCCTTGGTGTGCCTGCCTGGCACAGAGAAGCCTCCTGAGAAATGTCAGATGAGTCATGAGTCTCAGAGGGGGCGGGCAGCCAGGGAGGAAGCAAGGAGCGAAACCAGGAGGGAGCCCGCAGGAAGCTGGGGGCCGGGCAGGCACCGGGGTCAGTGCAGCGAGGGTCAGGGGTTGCTGGGTGCGGGCAGTGGGTGCAGATGCCGCCGGCACAGACGCCCTGTGAGTGCCTGGGCCCAACCCAGGCCTCCACATCCAGGTCTAAAGGGGTGGCCCTGGCCTCGGTTCCCCTCTGGCCTCAGGTAATCATTCTCCGTCAGATCAGAGGCCCTTCTGGTCACCTGGTGGACGGCCTGGGTCTCTAATGCCACAAGGTGGATCTGTTCTTAGCCCTCGACACCTGTGCGTTCGGCTGAGCCCTGACCCTGGCAGCCCGGCGGGAGGCCCTGCATGGCCAGACGAGGTCCCTGAAGTCCACCAGGCAAGGCCAGCCCAAGACGGGAGGCAGGAGCAGAAGGTGCTTCCGTCAAGCTCTCACCACAAGTCGTACTTTCGTTCGTTCTTTCCTTCCTTCCTTCCTTCCTTCCTTCCTTCCTTCCTTCCTTCCTTCCTTCCTTCCTTCTTTCTTTCTTTCTTTCTTTCTTTCTTTCTTTCTTTCTTTCTTTCTTTCTTTCTTTCTTTTTTTTTTGAGACAGAGTCTTGCTCTGTTGCCCAGGCTGGAGTGCAGTGGTGCTCAGCTCACTGCAACCTCTGCCTCCCAGGTTCAAGCAATTCTCCTGCCTCAGCCTCCCAAGTAGCTGGGATTACAGACATGGGCCACCACGCCCGGCTAATTTTTGTATTTTTAGTAGAGACAGAGTTTCACCATGTTGGTCAGGCTGGTCTCAAACTCCCGACCTCAGGTGATCCACCCGCCTCGGCCTCCCAAAGCGTGGGGATTACAGGCATGAGCCACCGTGCCCCTCCCATGAGCGGCACTTTCTAGGCTCAGCCCTGTTTTTGGTTTTCTCCTCCTCACAGCTTGTCGATTCTAAAAGCACCATCATACTTTGCTTCTCAGGGCATGGCCCTGGGCCCCGTCCAGATGCCCTGGGCGGCTTCGCCTGTGGAGCTGGCTTTCTGGAAGGGGCCCAGGAACCTGCATTTCAACAAGTTCTCCAGGGGATTTTAGTTCGAGGTCACCCCTGGCCTGGATTTGGCTTTTCTGCCCCCGATTTGATTCCGAGGCAGGAGCGGTCAGTTCAGGACACCGGCACGAGCTGTCACCAGGCGTCCTGAAGCCCAAGAGGCCCATCTGACTCTCTGAGAAATCAAAGCAAACTCACTCGGCCAAGCCTCCCGCAGATCTTCCCTAGGCAAGGCCCATGGCAGCCCCGGCCCGGGAGGCATCACACAGCTCCTGGATTATTTATAAGTCAGGTCCAGTCCAGCCAATCTAAGCCATCTACGCCCCTTGCGAGGCCTGGCCGGCAGCCAGGGATGCACTCAGAGACCCGCTGTCCCCTACCTGCCGCTGCAGAGGACGTGGGAGGTCAGGAAAACCATGCCCGTTTTAGAAAGGTGATTTTCAGGCTGTGCCCACTGCGTGCTCTGCAGAACCGGAACGCCCAGCATTCCCGTGTGTGCAAATCTGTGACACAGAAACGTGTCAGTGGGAAACCCCAACCCCAGGTGCCTCCTTCCCCAGCGTGTGCTGTGACACCAAGGAAACCCCAACCCCACAGGCCTCCTTCCCCAGCGTGTGCTGTGATCCCAAGGAAACCCCGACCCTACAGGCCTCCCCCGGCGTGGGCTGTGACCCCAAGGAAACCCCGACCCCACAGGCCTCCCCCCGGCGTGGGCTGTGACCCCAAGGAAACCCCGACCCCACAGGCCTCCCCTGGCGTGGGCTGTGATCCCAAGGAAACCCCGACCCCACAGGCCTCCCCCCGGCGTGGGCTGTGACCCCAAGGAAACCCCGACCCCACAGGCCTCCTTCCCCGGCGTGGGCTGTGACACCAAGGAAACCCCGACCCCACAGGCCTCCCCCCGGCGTGGGCTGTGACACCAAGGAAACCCCGACCCCACAGGCCTCCCCCCGGCGTGGGCTGTGACACCAAGGAAACCCCGACCCCACAGGCCTCCCCCCGGCGTGGGCTGTGACACCAAGGAAACCCCGACCCCACAGGCCTCCCCCCGGCGTGGGCTGTGACACCAAGGAAACCCCGACCCCACAGGCCTCCCCCCGGCGTGGGCTGTGACACCAAGGAAACCCCGACCCCACAGGCCTCCCCCCGGCGTGGGCTGTGACACCAAGGAAACCCCGACCCCACAGGCCTCCCCCCGGCGTGGGCTGTGACACCAAGGAAACCCCGACCCCACAGGCCTCCCCCTGGCGTGGGCTCTGATACCAATCCCTGCAGTCGCCGGCATTTTCCAAGTCGACGTGAGGTTGATGGTGGTGTGGGGTGTTTTCAGCCACATCCCCTTCTTGTTGCCAGGATGGGAAGAAAAGCCAAGGGCCTGCCCTGGGGCTGTGCAGGTGACTGGAAGGTGCCAACCAAACATCCCATCCGCAGTGGGGCTCCTTAGCAGTAGAAAACCACTCCTGCCCCCACCAAGCAGGAGCAGGTAGATAAACACCACGGATTCCTCCTGTGGGGATCATCGCATCCCCGGGAGGCCCCACAGGCCCAGCATGAGCTGCCCACAAGGTCAAACTGCTGGGCAAGGTGCCTTCCCCGGTCCGCTTCCTGGGGCCACCTCCCAGATAAACCACCTGCTCTCAGATGCCACCCTCAGCTCCTCCTGTGGGGAGCCTCACTTCCTCGGGCCACCTCCCAAATAAACCACTTGTTCTCAGATGCCACCCTCAGCTCCTCCTGTGGGGAGCCTCACTTCCTCGGGCCACCTCCCAAATAAACCACTTGTTCTCAGATGCCACCCTCAGCTCCTCCTGTGGGAGCCTCAACCTCAGCCCCGCAGCACACGGGCTTCCAGGTGAGTGACTTCAAGTCCTCCCTGACTCCCTGACTCCCCAGACTGCAGGAACCAGGGCAGCTTTGGGAGCTGAAGAGTTTAGTCCGGATGGATCAGTGGGCGGGAGCCTCGCAGGAGGGAGAGTCTTCACATGAACTCGGCTCTCTCAGGAGACGCCTGGGTCCAGCCTGGAGGAAACAATGTTGGTAGCCGAGAAGCCCAAGCCTGTTTTGTGCTGGGGCCAAGGACCTTGGCCTGGCAGTTTGGTGGAAGGCACGGCCCCGTGAGCAGCACCAGTCTCCAGAGGCCGCCCTGCCCGCGAGTGAGGGGCAGGTGAGAGCGCCGGCTTCACAGCTGGGGGGAGGGGGCTCGGCTGGCGCTGGCCCAGCGAGTTCTCTAGCCCTTGGCTACTGGGGCGGCTCCTACCTGGGGAGAGGTGAGTGGGTCCTACTCTGGGGAAGCAGCGACCGCTCCATCCACAGTCAGAGACCCCGAGTGAGGACAGCCTGACCTGGCATCAGGTGCCTGAGTTGCTGTCAAAGGACCTTCGGTGCAGGGCAGGAGAGTGAGTCATTCCTTCCCACTCCCTGAGGCCGAGCATAACACAAGTCCTCCATTAACCACTGACGAGTGCTGGAAAATGCATTTCAGAAGCTCCCTGAGGCTCAGTCTGATACTGAGCGAGAATTTAGAGAAGGCCTCATTTCCAGCAGGCGGAACGTGGAGGGACGCAGCCTGTGTGGTGAGACCAAGGCCTCCCACACAGGCCTGTGGGCAAACAGCCCTACAACAGGACAGGATCCTCAACTAGGGCCCCAGCCCATGGGTGGCTCCACAGGGAACAGGGCGCAGGTGTACAATAGAGAGGCTATGGGGTCAGGACCCAGGTCTATAGTGCAAGGTCTATGGGGTCAGGACCCAGGTCTACAGTGCGGGGTCTATGGGGTCAGGACCCAGGTCTACAGTGCGGGGTCTATGGGGTCAGGACCCAGGTCTACAGTGCGGGGTCTATGGGGTCAGGACCCAGGTCTACAGTGCGGGGTCTATGGGGTCAGGACCCAGGTCTACAGTGCGGGGTCTATGGGGTCAGGACCCAGGTCTACAGTGCGGGGTCTATGGGGTCAGGACCCAGGTCTACAGTGCGGGGTCTATGGGGTCGGGACCCAGGTCTACAGTGCGGGGTCTATGGGGTTGGGACCCAGGTCTACAGTGCGGGGTCTATGGGGACGGGACCCAGGTCTACAGTGCGGGGTCTATGGGGAGGGGACCCGGGTCTACACTGCAGGGTAATGTCTACAGTGCAGGGTCTATGGGGACGGGACCCAGGTCTACAGTGCGGGGTCTATGGGGAGGGGACCCGGGTCTACACTGCAGGGTAATGAGGACGGGAATCAGGTCTACAGTGCAGGGTCTGCGGGGACGGGAATCAGGTCTACAGTGCAGGGTCTATGGGGAGGGGAATCATGTCTACAGTGCAGGGTAATGAGGACGGGAATCATGTCTACACTGCAGGGTAATGAGGACGGGAATCAGGTCTACAGTGCAGGGTCTGTGGGGACGGGAATCAGGTCTACAGTGCAGGGTCTGTGGGGACGGGACCTAGGTCTACAGTGCAGGGTCTATGGGGAGGGGAATCATGTCTACAGTGCAGGGTCTGTGGGGACGGGACCTGGGTCTTCAGTGCAGGGTCTGTGGGGACAGGACCCAGGTCTATAGTGCAGGATCTATGAGGACAGGACCCGGGTCTACAGTGCAGGGTCTGTAGGGACAGGAATCAGGTCTACAGTGCAGGGTCTGTGGGGATGGGACCCAGGTCTACACTGCAGGGTAATGAGGACGGGAATCAGGTCTACAGAGCAGGGTCTGCGGGGACAGGAATCAGGTCTACAGTGCAGGGTCTATGGGGAGGGGAATCATGTCTACAGTGCAGGGTAATGAGGACGGGAATCATGTCTACACTGCAGGGTAATGAGGACAGGAATCAGGTCTACAGTGCAGGGTCTGTGGGGACGGGAATCAGGTCTACAGTGCAGGCTCTGTGGGGACGAGACCCAGGTCTATAGTGCAGGATCTATGAGGACAGGACCCGGGTCTACAGTGCAGGGTCTGCAGGGACAGGACCCAGGTCTATAGTGCAAGGTCTGTGGGGACGGGACCCAGGTCTACAGTAAAGGGTCTGTGGGGACAGGACCCAGGTCTACAGTGCAGGGTCTGTGGGGACGGGACCCAGGTCTACAGTGCAGGGTCTGTGGGGATGGGACCCAGGTCTATAGTGCAGGGTCTGTGGGGACGGGACCCAGGTCTACAGTGCAGGGTCTGTAGGGACAGGAATCAGGTCTACAGTGCAGGGTCTGTGGGGACGGGACCTGAGTCTTCAGTGCAGGGTCTACAGTGCAGGGTCTATGGTGCAGGGCCCTGGCCTGCAATGGGACTGCTTTTCAATGTGTTCATGAAAGGTTGGCCCCCGTACTTGCACACGCTGTTGGGACACCCACCTGCCCTCCTGGGCTGCTTTCCTGCCCACCACCAGGATGCAGGTGACCACGAGGCCTGTGGAGATGATGTAGTCTCAGCGGGAGGCAGCACGGGCCTGGGCACCATGTTTGAACCTTGTCCAGCCATGGGAACATCCACCTGGAAGCCCAGGTGAGAGCGCCGGAGCCTGTGCGGGTGACCCCATGTGCTCAGCCAGCTCCGTGGCCCTGGTACCACGGGTGAGGGTCCTGACCTGCTTCCACGTGAGAGCACCAGGTGAGGCCCTCTGCTCTGCTGAGCAGGGCTGGCCCACCTAATCCCCTAGGATACACCCACACCTGGGCCTGGGGCCTCTGTGGGTAAATGGAGAAGGGAGGACCATGCAAACAACAGGAAAATAACAAGCATTGCTGGAGATGTGGGGAAGCCGGGGCACTGCTGGTGGGAATGCGGAAAGGGGCGGCCACTGTGGAAACAGCCTGGTGGCTCCTCCAAGAATTAACGATGGAATTACCATAGGATCGACAGTCCCTCTTCGGGGTGTATCCCCAAAAGAATTGAAGGCAGGGTCTTTTATTTTTTTCAGAATCTCGCTCTGTTACCCAGGCTGGAGTGCAATGGCACAACCATAGCTCACTATAGCCTCAACCTCCTGAGCTCAAGGGATCCTCCTCCCTCAGCCTCCCAAGGAGCTGGGTCTACAGATGCACGCTACCATGTTGATATGGTTTGGCTGTGTCCCCACCCAAATCTCATCTTGAATTGTTGTTCCCATAATCCCAATGTGTCACGAGAGGGACCTGGTAGGAGGTAATTGAATCATGGGGTGGTTAGCCTCCTGCTGTTCTTGTGATATTGAGTTCTCCTGAGATCCGATGGTGCTATAAGGGCTTTTTCTCCTTTGCTCAGCACTTCTCCTTCCTGCCATCACCTGAAGAAGGACATGTTTGCCTCCCCTTCCGCCATGATTGTAAGTTTCCTGAGGCCTCCCCAGCCATGCTGAACTGTGAGTCAATTAAACCTCTTTCTTGTATAAATTACTCAGTCTCAGGTATGTCTTTATTAGCAGCGTGAGAACGCTCTAATACACATATGCAGCTAATTTTTAAATTTTTTGTAGAGATGGAGTCTTGCCACGTTGCCTAGGTTAGTGGCAGACTCCTGGCCTCAGGTGATCCTCCTGCATCGGTTTCCCAAAGCACTGGGATTGCAGGCATGAGCCACCGCCCCAACTGAAAGCAGGGTCTGGAACAGCTATTTGCACACAGCAGCTGAAAGAGGGGAAGCAACCCATGCATTCACTGATGGACGAATGGACAACATGAGGTCTGTTCATGCAGTGGGATAATTTCCAGCCTTTTTCTAACACACATTACAGCACGCATGAACCTTCAGGATGTTATGCTGAGTGGAATCAGCCGGTCCCAAAAGGACAAATCCTGTGTAATTGCACTCACATGAGGTCCCTAGAGTCATGAGATTCACAGACAGAAAGTAAAACGGTGGGTTCCAGGGCCTGGGGGAGCAGGAATAAGGAGTTGTTCAATGGGACCAGAGTTTCAGTTTTACAAGAAAAAAAGTTCTGGAGATGGGATGTGCAACAACGCGAATGTGCTTAATGCCACTCATTATGCACTTAGAAATGGTTGCAATGGCAAACGTCACGTTATGTGTATCCCACCACATTCAGGAGGGCCAGGCAGAGAGACTGACATGCCGCAGAAGGAAGAGGCGCTGATTCGCCCCAGCCAGGGCAGCAGTGTCAACACAGCAGACATGCAGCTGAGTGTGGCAGCCTGTAGTGGCAGGAACGGAGCTGCTGGGAACTGGATGGCCCTGGGCCCCCCTGTGCCCTCCCTCTCTACTCCTGGTCATTTTCTGGGGTCCTCAGCAGTGGGAGGAGCTCAGCTGAGAGTGACCATGTTCCCTCCAACCAGAAATCCCCGGGGAGCTGGTGAAAGCATCTTGGATGACACTGCCCAGTGGAGACCTGAGCAGTCCGGGTGCGGACCTGGCCCCGCAGAGCTGGGCTCCCAAGACGCACCCGGTGTGATCTGCAAGGCCAAAGGCTCAGTGTGGAAAACAGCACGGAAACCACGTTGCAATCTCTTGTGCTGACGGTGTGCAGTGGCCATACTTTGGATGTATTGGGTGAATGAACTAAGATGAGCTTAGCCTGTTTCTCCTTTCTTGAATGCGGTTGGCATCCTATTTCCATCAGACCACACTTCGGAGACCACCAGGAAATACAGGATTCCTCCTCTCCACAAGAAGATAAGGGATTCTTGAACCAGAGCGCGGCCCTGGGGTGAGGACCTGCCTGTTCCTCCAGGTGAGGAGTGCCTGTGCCGGGAAGCAGGAGGGGCCGGGCACCAGCGCCGCCGTCCACCCTGGGACCGTCCACTCTGAGACAGGCAGCTGTGACCAGTGGGCCCTGGACTCTTCCCACCCAGCGGCCAGCGCTCCTCCGGCCCGACCTGGCCCCCGTCTCCACAGCGACTGCCGCTCTGATCCACAAGCTGCCCTCATTCTCCCGTGGAGCAGGCGGCACCCTCACCGATTTCTGACACAGGAATCAATCTGCTTTCTGCACAGAAGGCTGCTGTGTGCTGAAGCTGGAAGGAACCTGTGAGGCTCTAAGATGCTCTGTCCCTCAAACCATCCCATTTGTGTGCAGCAAAGGCCAGGACTAGACTGGCCAAGGAGTGATCAAGAGGCACTGACCCTCTGTCCACCTCCCAGGCCGGCCAGCACCTGGTGACGGGGGTGACCGAGAGGCCCCCTCCCTCCGTCCACCTCCCAGGCCGGCCAGCACCTGGTGACGGGGGTGACCGAGAGGCCCCCTCTCTCCGTCCACCTCCCAGGCCGGCCAGCACCTGCTGACGGGGGTGACCGAGAGGCCCCGTCCCTCCGTCCACCTCCCAGGCCGGCCAGCACCTGCTGACGGGGGTGACCGAGAGGCCCCGTCCCTCCGTCCACCTCCCAGGCCGGCCAGCACCTGCTGACGGGGGTGACCGAGAGGCCCCGTCCCTCCGTCCACCTCCCAGGCCGGCCAGCACCTGCTGACGGGGGTGACCGAGAGGCCCCGTCCCTCTGTCCACCTCCCAGGCCGGCCAGCACCTGCTGACGGGGGTGACCGAGAGGCCCCGTCCCTCCGTCCACCTCCCAGGCCGGCCAGCACCTGCTGACGGGGGTGACCGAGAGGCCCCGTCCCTCCGTCCACCTCCCAGGCCGGCCAGCACCTGCTGACGGGGGTGACCGAGAGGCCCCGTCCCTCCGTCCACCTCCCAGGCCGGCCAGCACCTGCTGACGGGGGTGACCGAGAGGCCCCGTCCCTCTGTCCACCTCCCAGGCCGGCCAGCACCTGCTGACGGGGGTGACCGAGAGGCCCCGTCCCTCTGTCCACCTCCCAGGCCGGCCAGCACCTGGTGACGGGGGTAATTGAGAGGCCCCGTCCCTCTGTCCACCTCCCAGACCAGCCAGCACCTGGTGACAGGGCCAAGGCGGCAGCCGGGGCAGGATTTGCAATGCCTCCTGCAGGCGACAAACTGTCTCCCAAGGCCAGACGCAGACAGAGCTGTCACCGCTCCCACGCCCGGCGTTCCGGGAGCCTCCCTCCCATCCCCAGCAGCAGACGCCACCTGCCCCCCACCTCCCGCCCCGGGGTCTGAACTCCCAGCCAAGCCCGGCCTCTGCACACAGCAGTGAGAAGCCAGGACCTACGCACACCCCTGGCCGGCTCCCCGCTGGCCCCTCTGCGCGTGGGAGCTTCCAGCCTCCCGGGTCTAGGGGACTGGGGGATGCGTCTTCCTCCCGCCCCCGCAGCGCCCGGGGCAGGAGTGGCATCGGCGTCCCCGGCGTCCCCGCATCGGGCTTCTCTGGTCCTTTGTGAATCGGGCCTGAGTCATCCCCGGCTCACGGCTGCGCCACGTACCCACTGGGCGCTTTCCTCCGAGCGCTGACGACAGCGACTCCACCGGCAGCTGCTTCCCAGCGTCTCACGGCGGGCCCTTGGCTCCCCTCTCTGCTGTTTAATCCGCTGAGGAGCCCTGGTGAGCACGAGAGGGGCTCGTGGCTGATCAATGCGGGCCGAGGCTGCTGGCACCTTTCTCCAGGAAACACACCTGGCGTCCTGCAGGGGCCGGACCGGAGAAGCCCTGTGTGCCCCATACAGCGTGTGCTGCGGGGCAGCCTTTGTGCCCTCGAAGCCGGCCAGGGCCTCCGAGGACTGTTCCAGGAAGGCTCCAGAGAGCAACGTCCCCAGTTCACTCACAGCTGGCCGCCCCCAGCCCCCTGCCCGCAGCACCCGCCGTGTCTCCTGCTGGGAAGAGTGGCTGCTGTAGCTTCCTCCCCCTGCCCCTCCTGCCCGCTCTCCTGCCCCATCAGCATCTCAGGGCCGCATGGAAAGCTGCGGGGTGTCAGCACAGGCCAGGGTGGGCTGTGGAACAGACACCCCAAGGCAGGGCGTTGGCAGGCGAAAGCTCCTGCCTCCCTGGCGTGCTGGCTGGAGGGGTCCATCGGCCCCCAGGACACTGCCCTCCTTCATGTCCCCGCGCAGCCCTGGGAGGAGCCTGGAGGGTCAGTGCCGACTCTGACGTGCCCCCACAGGTGACAGTCATTTCTGCCCAATTTTATTGTTCAAAGCAAGATGCCTGTGGCAGCTGCCTGAGCACGTGGGGTCTCCGGCCCAGAGGTGCTCCTTACCAGTGTGCAAGTGAGAGGGGGGACTGATAAATAAATGGGAGGCGGAGTAGGCTGATGGGGGTGAGGGGTCTCACCACAGAGAACACACTGGGAGTAGGATCCGAACCTCGAGACCAGCTTTGAGTGTCTAGGGAAGTCCTCGTGGGGGGGTATTTACTTTACAGCGAACCACAAATGTTAAGCTACAAAGTGGCCTAGAGGTAAGGAGGACCCTGAAGGCCAGTCCCCAGATTTCAATGCATGGCGTCCTGCAGGATGGAGCCGGGCGGGGCTGGCCGGCCAGGGGAGAAGCTCCAGGGTCCAGGGGCACCTTATCTCTAAGGTCAGGACAGGACCGAGGGAGGGCTGGGGAGAGCACCTGGGCGGACGAGGCCTCCAGCCGCACACAGACAGGGGAGGGCGAGGGCTCTAAGCAGGGCGTTATGGCCGACACAAGGCGGCCTTCGAGGAGCTTTCCCAACTGAATTGCAGCTGGAGCCCCTCCAAGAAGAAGTTTCAGCCTTGCCACCGGATGCCATTTCTCAAGTGCAGACTCTTCCTTTTAAAAATGAAATGAAAGGTCATTGATTTCTTTTACTTTCCTGGGGAAAAAAAAATTGTTTTTGAGATGAGGTCTTGCTCTTCGACCCAGGCTGGAGTGCAGTGGCGTGATCATGGCTCACGGCAGCCTCAGCCTTCTGGGCTCAAGCAGTAGGCCTGCCTCAGCCTCCCAAGGTGCTGGGATTACAGGTGTGAGCCACTGCACCCAGCTAACTTACTTTACTCTTTTCATAGGCAAGAACTGTGCACAGCACCAAAGACCCCAAAGTATGCAGGGGGAAGTATGCAGGGGGAAGCGTGGCCCCTCCACCCCGCCCTCCCTCCCCCGCTCAAAGGCAACCACGACTTCCAGCCTCTGCTGACTCCCATGGGCGCCTGTGGTGCGGGGGCGGGGTGGGGCGGGGGTCCTCGTCTCGGGTAAGGGTGTGGCCAGCACGGGGTCCAGGCCTTTCTCTTCTCCCAGGAGACCGCCTTGAATGTAAATCTGACATCACTGCCCACTGCCCTCAGGGTCAGCTCAGACCCTCTGTGCAGCCGTTTGGGTGGACACCCCACGCCTGCCCCCAGCCGGCTCTCAGGCCTCAGGCTACCAGGGTCCCTGTGTCTCCGCACACGACGCTGCTCCATGTTTGCTGGATGACTTCGCCTTGTCCGCGGCCGAGTCCACCTGCTCCTTGAGGCCCTACCTAAACGCACTGCCTCTTCCTCCCCACTTTCTGCAGAACCACCCCGCCCTCCTCTCAGACCCCAGACCTGTCCCTTCCTCAGCTGTCACAGGTGCAGCCACGGGCAGCACCGCATCCCCCAAATCCATTCACTGAAGTCTCAGCTTCGACGTGTGGTATTTGGAGACGCAGCCTTTTCAGAGGTAGTTAGGGTAACTGAGCCGGGAGTGTGGGGTCCTGATCCCATGGGCCGTGGCCTCCAGGAGAAGAACAGACACCACGTGCTCCCTGCCTGTGCAGAGGGAAGGCGCGAGGTGGCTCCAGGAACCAGGTCGGCCGGCACCTTGGCCCGGAACTTCCAGCCTCCAGATTGTCAGAAACAAATCCCTGGTGTCTGCGGTGTTGGGGCTGACACGCGCTCTGCCTGGCTGCCAGGTCCTCTGCAGGCGGGGACGGTGCCGGCCATTGCTAGATCCCTGGGGCGCAGCACAGACTGCGGGAAACAGGCTCACCAGCCCGGCTGCACGCACCGAGGCAGCGTCCAGACTCGAGACATCCTCCAGCCACGGGCGAAATCACAGCCATTGCTGCAAAGTTCTTGCGTCCTGTGAAAACTGGATGTGAGCCTCTCTCTGGTGGCAGCTTCTACTAGTGCTTTTTTTTTTTTTTTTTTTTTTTTTTGAGACAGAGTCTCGCTCTGTCGCCCAGGCTGGAGTGCAGTGGCGCGATCTCGGCTCACTGCAAGCTCCGCCTCCCGGGTTCAAGCGATTCTCCTGCCTCAGCCTCCCAATTAGCTGGGATTATAGGCGTGCCCTACCACGCCTGGCTAATTTTTTATATTTTTGGTAAAGACAGGGTTTCACCATGTTGGCCAGGCTGGTCTCAAACTCCTGACTTCAAGTGATTCACCTGCCTTGGTCTCCCAAAGTGCTGGGATTACAGGCGTGAGCCACCGTGCCTGGTGAGAGTTGGGTTTTAGTTTTATTTTGTTTTTCACAGATTCCGGGGGTTGAATGGCAAAGAGGCGGGAGCAGGCGGAGGTCCATATGGAAGTTCAGACTCACCCCGCAGGAGTTCTGGCTGGGAGGCTGCCAGGACAGGCAGGATGTGGGAGCCGCCCTGGGAGGCCCCTCACTCTCCCCACACTGACCTCACATCCCCGTTACGTTCCTCATCCCAGGCTGGGCCAGCCACTGGGCGCTGGACAGAGCTTAGGAAGTAGGATGGCTCCGGGTGGGTTAGAAACCAGGTGCACGGCAGAAGCCGGCCTGGAGCCGCCCACAGCCCCAGCCATCCTTGGAGGGCCCCAGCCGAAGGAGCTGGTGCAGCTGGACACAGAGACCCGCTGGTGATGGGACCGGGCCACACGCTCCTGCAGGGCCCAAGCCGAGACCCCTGGCTGGAGGGTCAGCACCCAGGGTGGCAGCAGCTGCAGGGGGTCTAGGGAAGGACCGGGAGCAGAGCCTCAGCTCGTGCTGCTGCTCCATACACAGAACGCGCTGCGCAGGGGATCCTAGGCTTCCTGGGAGTCACATTAAAAAGCAACGTGAGACGGGCGGGGTTAATTCTGACGGTGATGTGTCCTCTGACCACATATCGCTAACGCACCATCATCCTGGTGTGGACTCGGAGGAAACACCACATGGCTTCTCTTGCCAAACCACCCACGTGTGGCAGGTGGTCACCGTGGAGCACGGGGGCCCAGTGTTTCTCAGACTGAAATCACACACAGACCCTCTTTAACAGAAACGAAAGTCTTGCCACTGCCCAGGGTTTTGATTTAATGGCTACTTATGCTGTACAAACAGCTTAATAAAACTGGGCACAAGCTCTTGCTGACTTGTATTCCGCCATAAAGCCGAATAGCCGCAAATAAAACAAATGTAATTAAAAACCAACATGAACATAACTTGGTGGGTGATGTTTTGCCGAGACAGCGCTGGCTCCAGAGGCCACTCTGGGGCAGGGGGACGTCGGCTTGGCTGTCCTCTGTGCGCTCCAGCTGGGAGGCCGCTTGGCCCCGCTGGGCTCAAAGGTCCCCCTGACGGACGTGCCTTGATGTTGCCACGTTGGACGGGATTAAAGTGCTGAGGCTGCTGTGACGGGTCAGGAAGACAAACTCGGCCCAGAGCACAACTGCGAGGCACACAGCCTTCCCAGAATGGCAGCAAAACCAAACATGGCCCTGGGAGGCCGCGGGGAAGTCCTACCTTGCAGAGCTCTGCTCCGGGGCCAGGGGGCGCTGGCTGGGGCCCCTTTGCAAGGCCCATGCGCCCTTCGACACCAGCCCCCGCCACAGGCTGCGCAGGCAGATGTTGCCGCTGCGTTTCCTCGCCAGGTGTCCATGGTGCCCTGCCCAGCGCTGCAGGCTCACCCAGTGTGGACGCAGGGGGCAAGGGAGCCTCTCCTGGGTCTCTGTCGCACGCCGATGGCTGTCTATCTGGGCAGGGGGTGGGGCTGGGGCCTTCGCCACGGGTGTGTCTTTCCTTTTTGTTTCCTGACGTGGAATTCTGTTGGGATTTTTGGGGACGATGACAGTAAGAACATCAAGGAGCTGCCACTGGATGGTGGAGCCGCCTCGTCACCAGAAGATCGCTCCAGCTGGCGTGGTGTCCGTCCCCCTGTCCTCCGGGAACTTTCCAGTCTCTGGTGAGCCTGGCCACAGACGCCCTCGTGAGGCAGCACTGGCCACTGGCAGGTCTGCTGAAGCCACAACCACACGGACAGGGACGGCTGGGCCGGGCTTCTCTGGCACTGACACTGAACCTGCGCGCGTGGTTCTGGGTGCCCTGGCAGTGGCTGGATCTGCCGCATGCAGAACCCCCTCCTGGCCCAATTGTCTGCACGAGGCAACCGGGGCGTGGGGAGGTCTGAGCTCCACAGTTCAGGCCACAGCACCCGAAGATGGAGCCTGGGACCCCTTTGCCTTTCCAATACGTGATGCCAAGAATTTCCCCAAATGTCCTCGGTTTTATCCCCGAGTGCGACATGGCTAGAAAGCGGAGCAGAGGCGCTGAGGGCAGGAAGAGGAAGATGCGCCAGGCCTCCCAGGCCAAATGCCAGCCCCATGCTCCTTGTTCGCTGGGCTCCTGCACTGCCCACTCCATGCACACATCCAAGCGGGCACAGTCACTGCCCCTCACGTGCCCAGGCCCACAGCCGCCCCCTGACCTCCAGCAGGCACTGGCGAGGCAGGGCAGAGGCTGCCAGGATAGAGATCAGTGGACAGAGACCTGGAGACAACGCAGGAGGGGGCCGTGTGCCGGCCTCACTCAGGGCAGCAGTCACCGATGGGGAGGGGTGTGGCCTGCGAGGCTGAAGTCTGAGCTGCTTTGCGCCAGGCCCAGCTGCAGGGAAAGCTGTAGGGCCAGTGAGTCTCCCTGCCGGGTCTCTCCCCAGCAAGCTGTAGGGCCAGTGAGTCTCCCTGCCGGGTCTCTCCCCAGCAAGCTGGTCAGCCCTCAGCAGGAGGTCACGTCCCGGCCTCCAAACCTGTTTCTGGCAGCCACAGACCCCTAGTCAAAGGGACCTGACGAGCCCGTGGAGCAGGGCTGAAATAGCCGGCTTTGGAAAAATCCAGCTCTAAGACTGTGTGTGCACGCCTTAAAAACCATTCAGGGCTGGGCATGGCAGCTCACACCTGTAATCCCAGTGCTTCGGGAGGCTAGGAGTTCGACGGCAAGACCCTGTACTACAAAAATAATTAGCCAGGCATGGTGGTGTGCACCTGTGGTCCCAGCTGCTTAGGAGGCTGAGGTGGGAGGATCACTTGAGCCCAGGAGTTCGAGGCTGCAGTAAGCCAAGATCATGCCACTGCACTCCAGCCTGGGCAACAGAGCCTGTCTCAAAAAAAACCTTTCAGGTGGAGCTTCTAGGAAAGGTGGTCTGCAGCAGGCATCCCTGAGCTGGGCCCCCAGGCACTGTCGGGGTGACGCTTCTTACCTGGACCACCATCTGTGTCCGCTGCACTGCACTTCCCCTCCTCCAGCACCGTCATCTAAGGGTGAGGCCAGCCAGGGGCCAGGAAGAAAGAGGCCTCCAGGGGTCCTCAGAAGTATCTTCGTCCCCAAGGCGGCTCCTTCCAGGCTGGCCGCGGCATCTGTATCACCAGCCTGCGCACTAGTGTCTGTGATGAGACGCCATAGCACAGGCACTGGGGTCCAGCACATGGAGTCTCAGATGGGCTTCCTGCCTGGGTTGAAGGGTCGTTCTCTGCTAGGGACAGCCATCGGCTCCTTCTCAAAGCCTCCAAGAGATGTGTCTGTCGGCGTCTCAGCCACGCATCCCTGTCTCAGGGACTTGCCTGAGCACAGGGCCGGGCCTGGTGTCTGCAGCTCTGACAGCACCCAGGGGATGCGGATTGGGCCACACTTTGAGGAGGACTGGACTGTGACGTGCCTTTCACAGAGGAAGGAAGGACAGGCAGGAGTCGAGGCAAGGAGTCGAGACAAGGCGAGCCTGTTGCCAGCGAGTCACAGAGTTGTGCAGGGTCTGCCGCAGAGCTCCCAGTGCACTCCAACCCTGCCACCGGACCAGCTAGGCCAGACCCCCAGGGAGCCGAGCACCCCAGCTTTACAGTTTTCCCAGGTGGTTCTGAGTCACTGAGCCACAGGCAAGCCTGGAGCCAGGAACAGCTATGGAGGATCCAGATGCAGATGCACTGAAGCCCACACCTGCCCCCCAGTCCAGCCCAGTGAGTGTGCATGTGTGTGCATGTGTGCACCTGTGTGCGTGTATGTGTACCTGTGTCTCTATGTACATCTATGAGTGTGTGCATGCATGTGTATGTGTACATGTATGAGTGCGTGCATGCATTCCTGTGTCTGCCAGTGTGTGTACATGTATTTGTGCGTGTGTGCATGTATGTGTTCACATCTGTGTGTGCACATGTGTGTGCCTGTGTGTGCATGTCTGTGCCTGTGTATGCACTTATGTGTGCCTGTGTGTGCATCTACCTGGGTGTGCACGTACATGTGCCTGTGTGTGCATCTACCTGGGTGTGCACGTACGTGTGCCTGTGTGTGCATCTGAGTGAGCACAGATGTGTGCGCATCTACCTGGGTGTGCATGTATGTGTGCCTGTGTGCAGGCACCTAGTTGCCAAACAGATCACGCCGACTCACTAGTGATATGTCAACAATAAAACTGGATTGTCATCTTTGTAGAGCAGTAGTTCTCAAAGTCAGTTCTTCATCAGAAATCTAGGGGCCAGGCCTCCAGGCAGCTGTGACACAGCCAACGGCCAAGAGCTGCGGGTATTGATCAGACTGCAGGGCGTCGGTCCTCCCAAAAAGGTGGGCACAGCTTGTCCATCAGGGTTGTGGGTGCGGGGCAGCTGTGTGGGGCCCCTTCCTCTCCCACCACGACGTCTGCTCACACAGGGTCTGTGTGCCTCTCTGGGTGTTCACCTGATAATACAGACCTGGTGGCCCAGTCTTCACTCACAAGCATAGGTCCCAGGCTGCTTACCAGCATGTGAACTGGCTGTGTTGCAGTCAAATGCTCGGCCCCAGTATAGTCAGCGTTCACTGGGAAGGGTCAGGTCTTGTGAAGCCTTGAGCACCACTGGGCAGGGGTGGCCCTCAGGACTGGGCCATCCACGGGAATAACATGAATTAGAAAACAGAACACTACTAAATATTTAAAATTTTTAGCCAGGTGTAATGGTGCACCCCTGTAGTCCCAGTTACTCGGGAGGCTGAGGTGGGAGGATCCACTGAGCCCGGGAGATGGAGGCTGCAGTGAGCCATGATGGCACCACCGCGCTCCAGCCTGGGCGATGGAAGAAGACCGTGTCTCAGAAAAAAAAAAAAAAAAAAAAAACCTTAAAAATAAAAGTGTTTTAAAAGCTCTCTAATGTTTCTTTTCATGCTTATTGTTGGAGATAGCTGCACCGAAAGACCACACTCTGAGTCACTGCTGTGTCAAATTAAGTCAGGGCTGCTGGATAACAGCTGTTCTATTGCTGTCACTGATTTCTGGTGTATCAAAAACAGTCCAAATAAAACATAAATGGGATGAGAAGGGGCTGGAAACCAGAAGAAATGGTGTAACATGTTGCAGACTTCAAAAACGGAGCCACAGCCATGGTTTTCCCATCTAGCACTCACCCTCTATAGCTTTGTTTCCTTAAAGTAAACGAGTCTGAGGAAAAAATGGCACACAACTTTGAACCATGCTATTAAGCATTTTTAAACAGTTCTTCCGACTTTCCCCTGGTGCTCAGCTCTGTCACAGGACCAAATGCTGGCCGAGCACTAGGGCCTGGGTGGACCAGGATCTGTGATATTTGTGTAAACAATTTAGTACTTTAGGCCTAGAATGCTTCCTTCTCAAAGGGCTCCTTCGACCCTCACTACTCCGTAAAATGGGCAGGGGACAGCTGCTCATGCACATTTTAAACAAGTTCAAAGGATGCAGAGAGTAGAAGATTCAACCCAGGTGTTCAGAGGCAACAGTGAATAAAAGTCAGGCTTGGAACCAGCTCTGAGAGTTGAAGGAAAATAAATTCAATATTAAAAAACCAACCATATTTCTATATGCTTGCAATGAACAGTTAAGCAATGGAAAAAATCACATCAAAATATGAAATCTCTACAGATAAATTTAACAAAAGGTGTGTAAGACTTGAGTATGTTGACTACCAAACACTGAAATTAAGTGAAACAGTGACATTAAGACCTAAATAGAGAATCAGAGGACCTAATACCGTCAAGATGTCCGTCCTACCCAATGTCGGTCCTACGCAATGTCGGTCCTAGGCAATGTCGGTCCTACGCAATGTCAGTCCTACCCAATGTTGGACCTACGCAATGTCGGTCCTACCCAATGTCGGTCCTACGCAATGTCGGTCCTAGGCAATGTCGGTCCTACGCAATGTCAGTCCTACCCAATGTCGGTCCTACGCAATGTCGGTCCTACCCAATGTCGGTCCTACCCAATGTCGGTCCTACGCAATGTCGGTCCTACCCAATGTCGGTCCTACGCAATGTCGGTCCTAGGCAATGTCGGTCCTACGCAATGTCGGTCCTACCCAATGTCGGTCCTACGCAATGTCGGTCCTAGGCAATGTCGGTCCTACGCAATGTCAGTCCTACCCAATGTTGGACCTACGCAATGTCGGTCCTACCCAATGTCGGTCCTACGCAATGTCGGTCCTAGGCAATGTCGGTCCTACGCAATGTCAGTCCTACCCAATGTCGGTCCTACGCAATGTCGGTCCTACCCAATGTCGGTCCTACCCAATGTCGGTCCTACGCAATGTCGGTCCTACCCAATGTCGGTCCTACGCAATGTCGGTCCTACGCAATGTCGGTCCTACCCAATGTCGGTCCTACGCAATGTCAGTCCTACCCAATGTCGGTCCTACCCAATATCAGTCCTACCCAGTGGGTGTATAGATTCCCTGCAATCCCGATCAGAACCCCGGCAGGAAACGACAAGCTGCCACTAAAGCTTACATGGAAATACAAAAGACCTAGAATAGCCAAAATTACCTTGAAAATTAAGAACACAGTTAGGCTTGGGGCCGAGAAGGTTTCCCAGCTCCACACCTGGGCCCACCTCTGTGTACCTAGTGGCCGCCCCCTGGGTTCTCCCTTGGTGCTGGTGATTGTGCTGGCCAACGGAGGACCTGGTGGTGGACCCGTCCAGTCTAGCCCTGCACCCCTACAACCCCCTCCTCCCCACCCCACCTCTGGGCTGAGCAGGGAGCTCAGACCTCTGTGCACTCCAAGTATCAGCCCATTGCCTAAGGCAACAGAAAGCTTCTCCCAGTAAACAAAGATCCAGGATATACCCAGCCCCAGTGGCCACAGCCACTCCTACCCATACACACCATCTACTGGCTTGTGGGTCAAACTGCACACCCCGATATAAAACCTGCCGACAGAAGTGCATAAGGCTCTAGAGGCAAAGCCAAAAGACCCCACCTAGTACTCACAACAGTCACAGCCCCCTACCAGGGGGTGGGGGAGGGATTAAAAGATAATATTACGGAGAAAGAAGAGAAAAATCCTACCTGCAAGAAAATAATTACAAAAATTAGAAGTGCCAGCATCTCCAGATGAGCCAGCAGAAGAATTTTGGTGCCATGAAAAATGTGAACGTAGGGACACCTCCAGAGGATCCCAGTAGCTCTCCAGCAATGGTCCCTGACCAAAACAGAAACTCAGAAATGACAGGTAAGATATGTAGGCATGGATTTCAAGGTAAGGGAGGAGACCCTCATATTGTCTTATGCTCAATTTCTGCCTCCAAAGAAAAAAGTAAAAACTAAAAGGCAGAAATGAAATCCACAAGAAGACAGCCCGGTGCCATGCCCTGGGCCTGGTAGTTAAAAATCAACCCCTGACTTAACTGCTTGTGTTATCTATAGATTTCAGACATTGTATGGAAAAGCATCGTGAAAATCCCTGTCCTGTTCTGTTCCATTCTGATTACTGGTGCATGCAGGCCCCAGTCACATACCCACTGCTTGCTCAATCAATCACGACCCTCTCACACAGACCCCTTTAGAACTGTAAGCCCTTAAAAGGGACAGGAATTGCTCACTCAGGGAGCTTGGTTTTTTGAGAATAAGACTGCTGACACTCCCGGCCAAATAAAGCCCTTTCTTTCCTAAACTCGGTGTTTCGAGGGGTTTTGTCTGCAGCTCTTCCTGCTACAAAGGGAGCTCGACAAGATGCAAAACGGAGTTGAAAATTAGCACACAGAAACTTCTAAAGCCACCCAGGAAATGAAGGAAGAAATCTTAACAATAAATCAATCAGAGCTTCTGGAATTGAAACACTCATGGAATTTCAAAATACAATTGAAACTTTACCAATAGACTGGGCCAAACAGAATAAAGAATTTCAGAGCCTGAAGACCAGTCTTTTGAACTAACCCAGACAGACAAAAATATAGAAAAAAAATTTTTAATGAACAAAATCTTCAAGAAACACAGAATTACTTAAAGTGACCAAACCTACACATTATTGGCATTCCTGAGAAGGGAGAAAAAGTAAACAACCTGGAAAATGTAATTGAGGGAATAGCTCAAGAAAATTTCCCTAATCTTGCTAGAGAGGTAGACATCCAGATAGAAGAAATCCAGGGAACATCTCTGATGTGGTTTGGCTCTGTCCCCACCCATATCTCTTCTTGAATGGCAGCTCCCATATCCCCACGTGTTGTGGGAGTGACCTGCTGGGAGATAACTGAATCACGGGGGTGGGTTTTCCCATGCTGTTCTCATGATAGTGAGTAAGTCTCAAGAGATCTGATGGATTTATAAAGGGCAGTTCCCCTGCACAAGCTCACTTGTCTGCCGCCATGTAAAGCGTGCTGTTGCTCCTCCTTTGCCTTCCGGCATGATTGTGAGGCCTCCCCAACCATGTAGAACTCTAAGTCCATTAAACCTCCTTTCCTCTATAAATTAACCAGTCACAGGTATGTCTTAATTAACAGTGTGAGAACAGACTAATACAGTAAATTGGTACCGGAAGTGGGGTGCTGCTGTAAAGAACCCAAATATGTGAAAGCAACTTTGGGACTGGGTAACAAGCAGAGGTTGGAACAGTTTGGAGGGTCCAGAAGAAGATATGAAAATGTGGGAAAGTTTGGAACTTACTAGAGACTTGGAGGGCTCAGAAGAAAGGAAGATGTGGGAAAGTTTGGAACTTCCTAGAGATTTGTTGAATGTCTTTGACCAAAATGCTAATAGTGATATGGACAAGAAAGTCCAGGCTGATGTGGTCTCAGATGGAGATGAGGAACTTGTTGGCAACTGGAGCAAAGGTGACTCTTGCTATGCTTTAGCAAAGACACTGGCAGCATTTTGCCCCTGCCCTAGAGATCTGTGGAACTTTGAACTTGAGAGATGATTTAGAATATCTGGCAGAAGAAAATTCTAAGTGGCAAAGTGTTCAAGAGGAAGCAGAGGATAAAAGTTTGGAAAATTAGCAGCCTGACAATGCAGTAGACAAGGAAAACCCATTTTCTGGAGAGAAATTCAAGCCTGCTGTAGAAATTTGCATAAGTAACACTTGGTTAATCACGAAGACAATGGGGAAAATGTCTCCAGGGAGTATCAGAGACCTTCAAGGCAGCTTAGGAGTTAAAAATGGTTTTGTGGGCTGGACGCAGGGCCCCCCTGCTGTGTACAGCCTAGGGACTTGACGCCCTGTGTCCCAGCTGCTCCAGCCATGGCTAAAAGGGGCCAAGGTACAGCTCAGGCCATGGCTTCAGAGATTGAAAGCCCCAAGGCTTGGCAGCTTCCACATGGTGTTGGTCTTACAGGTGCACAGAAGACAAGAATAAGGTTTGGAAACTTCCACCTAGATTTCAGAGGTTGTATGGAAATGCCTGGATGTTCAGTCACAGGTGTGGCTGCAGGGGCAGAGGGCACCAAGTTCTCAGACTGCACAAAGCAGCAGGACCCTGAGCCCAACCCACGAAACCATTTTTTCCTCCTAGGCCTCCTGGCTTGTGATGTGAGGAGGTGCTATGAAGACCTCTAACATGCCCTGGAGACATTTTGCCCATTGTCTTGACAATTAACATTTGGCCCCTTGTTACTTATACAAATTTCTGCAGCTGGCTTAAATTTTTCATCAGAAAATTAGTTTTTCTCTTCTATTGCATTGTTAGGCTGCAAATTCTCTGAAATTTAGTGCTGTGCTTCCCTTTTAAATACAAGTTCCAATCCCAAACCATATCTTTGTGAAGGAATAAAACCGAATGCTTTTAAGAGCACCAAACATCTTGAACACTTTGCTGCTTAGAAATTTCTTCCACCAGATACCCTAAATCATCTCTCTCAAGTTCAAAGTTCCACAGATCTCTAGGGGACAAAAGGCTGCCAGTCTCTTTGCTAAAGCATAGCAAGAATCAACTTTGTCCAGTTCCCAATAAGTTCCTCATCTTCATCTGAGACTATCTCAGCCTGGACTTTTTGGTGAAAACCATTCAACAAATCTCTAGGAAGTTCCAAACTTTCCCACATCTTCCTGTCTTCTTCTGAGTCCTCCAAACTGTTCCAACCTCTGCCTGTTATCCAGTTCCAAAGTTGCTTCCACATTTTTTTTTTTTTGAGATGGAGTCTCACTTTTTTCACCCAGGCTGGAATGCAGTGGCACGATCTTGACTTACTGCAACCTCGGCCTCCTGGGTTCAAGTGATTCTCCTGCCTCAGCCTCCCAAGCAGCTGGGATTATAGGCACTCGCCACTACGCCTGGCTAATTTTTGTATTTTTAGTAGAGACGGGATTTCGCCATGTTGGCCAGGCTGGTCTCAAATTCCTGACCTAGGTGATGATCATCTGCCTCCCTCGGCCTCCCAAAGTGCTAGGATTACATGCATGGGCCACCATGCCTGGCCTCAGGTATCTTAATAGCAGTACCCCACTCTACTGGTACCAACTTATTATATTAGTCCATTTTCATACTGCTATAAAGAAATACTCAAGAATGGGTAATTTATTTAAAAAAAAAGAGAGAGAGGTTTAATGGACTCACAGTTCCACATGGCTGGAGAGGCCTCACAATCATGGCAGAAGACAAAGGAGGAGCAAAGGCACATCTTACATGGTGGCAGGCAAGAGAGCGTGTGCAGGAGCCCTTTATAAAACCATCAGATCTCATGAGACTTCTTCACTATCATAAGAACAGCGTAGGAAAAAGCCACCCCTATGATTTAATTACCCCCACTGCGTCCCTCCCATGACACATGGGGATTGTGGGAGCTACAATTCAAGATGAGATTTGGGTGGGGACACAGCCAAACCATGTCGGCCTCTGAGATCTATTCAAAATGAACATCACCAAGGCATATAGTCAACAGACAGCCCAAGGTCAACACACACACACACACACACACACACACACACACACACACACACAAATCTTAAAGGCTGCTAGAGAAAAAGTTCAGATTATGTACAAAGGGAACCCCATAAGGCTAACAGCAGATGTCTCAGCAGAAATCTTACAAGCCAAGAGAGACTGGCGGCCTACTATCAGCATTCTTAAGGAAAAGAAATTCCAACCAAGAATTTCTTTCCCACCGAACTAAGCTTCATAAGTGATGGAGAAATAACAACTTTTTCAGACAAGCAAGACCTAAGGGAATTCATTGCCACTAGACCAGCCTTACAGGAGATCCTTAAGGGAACTCTGAACATGGAAACAAAATAATGATACCTGCTGCCACAAAAATACCTTAAGTACGTAGCCCACAGACCCTGTAAAGCAACCACACAATAGAAACTACAAAGCAACCATCTAACAACTTGATGATAGGATCAACACCTCACATATCAATATTATCCTTGAATGTAAGTGGTCTAAACACCCCACTTAAAAGGTACAGAGTGGAAAATTGAATAAAAAAGCAAAACCCATCTTCAAGAGACCCATCTCACATGTAACAACACTGATAGGCTCAAAGTAAAGGATTAGAGAAAGATCTACCACACAAATGGAAAACAAAGAAGAGCAGGGGTCACTATTCTTAGATGTTAAACCAACAACAGAAAAAAAAGCAGGGGGGACAAAGAAGGGCATTACATAATGATAAGGGGTTCAATTCAACAAAAAAACTATCCTAAATATATATGCATCCAACATTGGAGCACGCAGATTCATAAAACAAGTACACCGATACCTACAAAAAGACTTAGATGGCCACACAATAGGAGTAGGGGACTTCAATACGCCACTGACAGCATTAGACAGATCATCAAGGAATAAAACTAACAAAGAAATTCTGGATTTAAATTCAACACTTGCCCAATTGGACCCAATAGATATCTACAGAACCCTTCACCTATCAACCACAGAAAATACATTCTTCTCATCTTCACATGGAATACACTCTAAGATTGACCATAGGCTTGGCCATAAAGCAAGTCTCAATAAATTCAAACAAAATTGAAATCATGCCAATCATACTCGGAGACCACAGTGGAATAAAAATAGAAATCAGTACCAAGAATATCTCTCAAAACCACACAACTACATGAAAATTAAACAATTTACTCCTGAATGACTTTTGGGTAAACAACAAAATTAAGGCAGAAATCAAAAATTTCTTTGAAAGAAATGAAAACAGAGATACAATATACCAAAATATCTGGGATACAGCAAAAGCAGTAATAAGAGTAGAGTTTGTAGTGATAAACATCTATCTCAAAAAGTTATAAAGATCTCAAATTAGCAATCTAACATCACACCTAGGGGAACTAGAAAAACAAGAACAAACTAACCCCAAAACTAACAGAAGGAAAGAAATAACCAAAATCAGAGCAGAATTGAATGAACTTGAGATGCAAAAATCCATACAAAAGATCAGTGAAACTAACAGTGGTTCTTCGAAAGACTAAACAAGATTGATAGACCGCTAGCTGGATTAACAAAGGAAACTTAAAATCTCCCAAGATTGTACAGGAAAACAAACAAACAAACAAACAAAAAAACACTGAACAGACCAATATTGAGTTGTGAAATTGAAGCAGTAACCTACCAATCAAATAAAGCCATGGAATAGATGGATTCACAGCCAAACTCTACCAGATACATAAAGAAGAGATGGTACCAATTCTACCGAAACTATTCCAAAAAATTGAGACGTGACCCCTCCCTAACTCATCTTACGAGGCCAGCATCAGCCTTTTACCAAAACCTATGCACCAGTAACACTCAAGCGGAGATCCAAATCAAGAACACAATCATATTCACAATAGCCAGAAAAAAAAAATACCTAGGAATACATCTAACCAAGGAGATGAAAAATCTCTACAAGAGAGCTAAAACACACTAATGAAAGAAATCACAGATGACACTAATAAATGGAAAAACATTCCATGCTCGTAGATTCGAAGAATCAATATAGTTGCTTTTTTTGTTTGTTTGTTTTGAGATGGAGTCTCGCTCTGTCGCCCAGGCTGGAGTGCAGTGGCATGATCTCGGCTCACTGCAAGTTCCGCGCCCCCAGGTTCATGCCATTCTCCTGCCTCAGCCTCCCGAGTAGCTGGGACTACAGGCGCCCGCCACTGCACCTGGCTAATTTTTTGTATTTTCAGTAGAGACCCCCGGGGTTTCACTGTGTTAGCCAGGATGGTCTTGATCTCTTGACCTCGTGATCCACCTGCCTCGCCCTCCCAAAGTGCTGGGATTACAGGTGTGAGCCACCATGCCCAGCAGAATCAATATAGTTAAAATGGCCATACTGCCCAAAGCAATCTATAGATTCAACGCATTCCTATCAAATTACCAACATCATTTTTCACTGAACTAGAAAAATTATGAAAAATTTTATAACTATTCTAAAATTCATATTGAACAAAAAAAGAGCCGGAATAGCCAAATCAATCCTAAGCAAAAAAATAATAATAATAAAGTTGGAAGCCTCATATTACCTGACTTCAAATTATACTATAAGGCTACAGTAACCAAAACAGCATGGTACTGGTGCAAAAACAGATCCAAAGATCAGTGGAACAGAACAGAGAACCCAGAAATAAAGTCACACACAGCCATCTGATCTTTGACAAAGTTGACAAAAATAAGCAATGGGGAAAGGACTCTCTATTTGACAAATGGTGCTGGGATAACTGGTTAGCCATATGCAGAATGACACTGGACCCCTACTTGCACAAATTTTTACAAAAATTAACTCAAGATGGATTAAAGATTTAAATGTAAGACCTCAAACTATACGCATCCTAGAAAAAGACATAGGAATCACCATTATGGAAATCGGCCTTGGCAAAGCATTTATGACTAAGTCCTCAGAAGCAACTGCAAGAAAAACAAAACTTGAAACAGACCTAATTAAACTAAACAGCTTCTGCACAGCCAAATAAACTATCAAAAGAGTAAACAGACAAACTACAGAACAGGGGAAAATATTTGCGAACTATGCATTCTACAAATATCTAATATCCAGAATCTATAAAAAAAGAAATCAACAAGCAAAAAACACATAAACCAATTTAAAAATGGGCAAAAGACATAAACAGACACTTCTCAAAAGAAGACACAAGTGACCAACAAATGTGAAAAAATGCTCCACATCACGAAACATCAGAGAAATGCAAGTCAAAACCACAATGAGATACCATCTCACACCAGTCAGAATGGCTATGCTTTCAGATGTTGAGGTTTTTTTTGAGACAGGGTCTTGGTCTGTTGACCAGGCTGGAAAGCAGTGGTACGATCACAGCACAGTGCAGCCTTCACCTCCTGGGCTTAAAAGGATCCTTTCACTTCAACCCCCTAAATGGCTGGGACTACAGGTGTGTGCCACCACACCCAGCTAATTATTTTTATTTTTTGTAGAGACGAGGCCTTGCTATGTTGCCCAGGTTGGTCTCAAACTCCTGGGCTCAAGCAATCCTTCTGCCTTAGCCTCCCACAGTGCTGGGATTACAGATGTGAGCCATTGTGCCCAGCCAGAATCGCTATTATTAAAAAGTCAAAAAACAACAGATGCTGGGAAGCTGCAGAGAAAAGGGAATGCTTATACACCGTTGGTGGGAATGTGGGCCCTGCGGTCCTGGCCTACAGGGAGACGCCATCCTACAAAATAAAATGTAGAAATGAACACTCCACCCCGTCCCACGTGGCTGCAAACATCAGAGTCCTTTGGGGATCAGCTGTGCACAGTAAGCCAGCAGTACTCCGATGTCCCCAGGACAGAAGTGTGGAACCACAGCAATTAGCCACTCTACCCACAACTTCCAGCCTGTGAGCCAGGGACAAGGATGACGAGCCTCAGGCCTCCAGGGGCGTGAACCCGGTGTGCTGCCCCAGGTCTCACAAGACCCCAGGACACAGCTCTGGCCTGTAGCAGCCAGGACCACCCTTCAGCCCCGTGCCGTCTGACACAGTCACGGCCACACAACACAAACTGTCTCCTTCATCATGTTTTACATAGATTGTGTTGAAATGGTCCTATTTTGGGCAGAGTCAAATAAAATATTTCAAAAATCGCTTCCCCTGTCTCCTGTTGGGCTTTTCTAGGGTAACAGGACGCTCCCACTCACACTGCAGGAGCCCCTCCAGAGTGGGGCTGGAAGCTTCTCTGGGTTTACTGAGAAGAGGGCCTGGGGTTCTTGCCTGTGGGGGTGTCTGCCTGGCACTCACCGGCCGGCTTGCTGACCTGCAGGAAGGCCTGCGCACCCCGGTGGGGCTGGCTCCCACAGGCCCAGCTCGGCATCCAGGCTGCAGCCATCTTGCAGCCCATATGGCAGTTCCAAGAGGGGGGTTGGCGGTTTTCCTCCCATGGAACGGCCAGCACACCGTGAAGCTTGTCTCCTCCCCACCCTGACCCAGTCTTCCCCGAGCCCTGTCTCTCCAGGTCCGGTCTTTCGGGCTCGAATGGCATCTAAACAGGGCAGGAAATACCTCCTCCTGCCAAAGCAGAGGTCAGGCGGGCGAAGGACACGAGGGTGGGGCCATCTGTTCAGGAAACGAAGGCGGCTTCTCCTGGAGACGTGGAGGGTCCACCTAGGTTCCTGCTGTCTAGACGGGTAGGGCCCATGATCCCCACCTCTCCACACCTCCCATCGGCTGTCCTGCCCTGTCCTGTCTGTGCACAGAAGGGAGGTGTGGGCACCGAGGCGGTCCTGGGCTGGGAGCATGCTCTGGCCTTTCTCACCTTGAAGCTCCTCGGGGCTCTGCACTAGCAGCCCACGAGATGTGCATGTTTCTAGGACAGGTGGCCCCTTAGACTCTGCCACGCAGGGCCCCTCCCAACTTGAGTCACTGGCAGGGCACCCCCCAGCTCACTCTGTGCCCTCTGCAGGCTCAGCCCTGCTGGGAGGGAGGGCCAGTCCTGTGCAGAGGGGCCACGCCACCTTCCCTCCCATTCGTGGCCAGTGGGAGTGAACACAGGGTTGGTGGGTGAGCCGCCTGTAGTTTAGAAGGAAGAAGCAAAAAATTTAACAAACTTGAAATGTAAAAATCATGATTTTTACAGAAATACTATGTTCTTAAAGCATTTAAGATGGTGAGCTCTGCCACCATTTTTTCATGTTTTTTATTTTACATTTAGGTTTGAGGTTTTCATTGTCATCATTAAGTTTCAGTATATTTTCTGCAGTCATCCACAAAAATGGGTCAGTAGCACAAAAGTGTTTCATCAGAACATAAATGTAACATAAATATTAGCTGGAACCATATAAAGTTGCTACTTGCTCACTTTGACCTCTAAAAACAGTAATTTCATCTGGCATGACCAAATACAACTGTAAGTAACATGTATGTTTACAAGCAAAGCTGACTGGGCTCTCCAAGCCACAGGGACAGCAAGATGAAGTTTGCAGGATGCAGCTGGTGACGATCACTCAGGGCATCTCTGAAAGTGGCTCTCCTGCGGCAGGGCCACCCACCCGGGAGGTCACAGCCGGGGTCACACGGAGCTGCAGGGTGGGGCGGGCTCTGCCTCTGCCGCTCCAGTGCGACAGCAGAGCAGCAGGCATGATGTGACACAGATGAGCCCGGCCCTGGCTCCTCAGGGAGGACCCTGTAGACCTACGCCGGGGATGGTGGGTGCCCTGAGGAAGGGTAACCTCCCCAGCAGGTCCCTCCACCAGGCGCCACCCTGAGGTCTCTGGCTGCCAACGGGGCGGGACCGCCTGAGTTTCTAATAGGAAGGATGAGGTCAAAATATGTATCCTGGGCAGTGACAGGCGTTTTTGCAGCAAGGAGAAAACCTCCGAGATGCCTTCCCAGCCTTAGGATACCACAAACCCACTGTCCACAGGGCGGGTTTTGCACAGAAGTACCAGTGTCTCACACCTCAAGCTGTGCCGATTCTCCTCACCCGGGGAAAATGCTTACTTAAATGCTTCTTTACAACTGCTCTTGTCAAGGGTACCATAAAACTCTGTGTTCAGAATCTGGAAGCTGATGGCTTCCCATGGCCTAAGTGGGTGTTGGTGACATCCCCGGCGTGCGGCGTGGCTGGAGCCCCTGAACCCTGGCTGCGGCCACGTCCTCCTGTCACTTTGGGCTCCTCTGGCTAAAAGAGGAACCCTGCCTCTCCTCTCCCGGGCTCCTCTCTCCCCGCCTCTCCAGCTTGCAGTGTCAACACCACGAACCCACGTGAGCTCCACCCTGGGCTTGCTCTATGTTGATGGTTTCTTTCCCGCCCTCCCCCGTCTCCCAGGTGGCCGGGGGCTCTTCCCATCCCTCCTGACCTTTCCCTCTAGGTTTACTTCCTATGAGGCAGCTCCAGAGCCTCGGAGGGGCGGCTGGAGGTCGAGGGCGCGTGGGGGGCCTGGAGGGTGCAGGGGACGCCGAGGGCGCGGGGCCCAACCTCCGGCCAGCCGCCTGGATTCTGGTCTCTGCTCTGAGCGAGGTGCGTGGGTGCCTCCCTGCTTTTGAGCGGGGATGCAAAGGACCCCCGGGCTGCTGCGCGGAAAAAGGCGGACGGGGATCCAGGGCGCAAGCAGGGATGGAGGGAGAGGCCGACACAGACGGCGGCAGGTGTGCGTGGTGAGGCCGCCCCACGCAGGGATGGGAGGGGCGCGCAAGCCGGGACTTGAACCTGCACTGGCTGAGCTGTGGACGCGGCCTGGCGGCCTCTGCGGAGCGCCCTCTGCGGAGCTGCCTCTGGCACCTGTCCACAGCGTCTGGACACCGGGCGAGGAATGGACCCGGAAGCGTCCCCTGCCCAGGGGGTGCTGCAGGTACCCAGGGGAAGAGCATTCACGGGTGCCAGGCCCAAGGGGCTCACGCCAGAAGTAGACCAATTAGACGACTACAAACGGTGCTCAGTGCTGCAGAAGCAGCCGGGGACAGGCGGCTGTCGGAGAGGGCGCCAGGCATCTCTGGGAAGGGAGAAACAAATTCCACGGGAAGGGGCCAGCAGGTCCCAGGCAGCATGGGCAGAGAGTGTGGGGTCAGGGATGAAGTTGCAGGTGGGTTGGGGAGTGACTTGCAGGCGCGCGTCTAAACCTTATTTCTTCCTGCAGGAAACCATTGGAGCGTTTAAAGCAAGGGAACAGGGCGCGCTCACTACCACAAAAGAACCCTCGGGCTAGGTGGAGAACGGGGCAGGGAGACTGGCGACGAGATGGCCGGGCTGGACTCTCGGAAGGATCTGGGGAAGAACCAAGACTGGCCCAGGATTTGGGCTTGCCTGTCTGCGTCGGGGCTGCCCGTGGAGATGGGGTTCCGGTGAGGAGCAGGAGGATCCAGGCCGGAGGGTGGGTGGTCCCATCTGAAATGTGGACTGACTGCAGGTGGCCACGCCAAGGACACAGTGAGACATGGGCTGGAGGCTGAGCAGGCTGGGGCTGAGGAGCTCGAATGTACTGAGTGGACGTATTAGTTACCCCTTCTTTCTTAATGGCCCCAATTTTGTTCAGGGACCCCTCTCTCCAGTCACCATGCACCTTGGGGGAGGTGGCCCCACTCCTGAGCCCAGGATGGACCTCACTGACCTGAAAGCCCCTTCCCCGTGACGGCGTTTGGATCCTAAATCTAGCCAGTAAGATGTGCAATTTACTGGCAACTTGTTTCCTTATTCCCAAAGCCACACAAAAAGAAACTCGTCTCCCCACCCCCACCCCGAGGTTAAGATGTCTGGCTGCAACACTCCCAGCTGCCGCACACTCCTGCTGCCTGCCAAGGACGCTGCCACCACGGTGGCCCGGCCCGACAGCAGCATGGAGCTCTGCCTTCCTCTGCAGGGGACAGTACATTGCACCTGCCCCCGGGCCCAGGCTGCGGCCTCTGTGCTTCCAGGCTGATGGATTTCAGCTGGCATGGAAAGTGCGGCATTGCACGAAGTAGAAAGGTGTGGGCCTGGAAGAAACTACCCAGTAGCAAAGGGCAGACACTGAAGAGGGCACTGCCCCCACTGGCCTCAGGAAACGGGAGGCGCAGCAGCAGGAGAAGGTCAACTGGGAGCTGAGAGCACGAGAGGACTGAGAATTGGCAAATTACAATCTCCAGGAAGGCAAAGAGAAAAAAGAAACAGAGCAGCAGGGAAGAGAAAGGGCAGATGTAATTGGTCCATACGCAACAGTTAGAAGACTGAGGCTGGCAGAGTGGATTACAAACACCCACCACTCCGTGCTGTCCACAGACAACTCCCTTCAGACAGGGCACAGGCGGGCTAAAAGTCAAAGGATGAAAAACGGCACGTTACACCGACAGGAGTGAAAAAGAAAGAGCTGGAATGCCTTTGTTACTGTCAAAACTTCAGAGCAAAGACAATTACTTGGGTCCAGGGTCCTAATGACAGATCAGTCCAACGAGAAGACACGGTGATCCTAAATGTGCATGCGTGGAGTATGTCCCGTTAGGACAGGGGTGAGGAACAGGCTGCGGCTGCCCACACTTGTAAGCGCCCCACATTTCTGCACGCGTAGCTAACGTTAGAGAGAGTCTTTCTATACACTCACATCCTATGTAGTAAACACAGTGAGCTTCGGCTGGGAAAAGCGGCTGCTCCGGCCGAGGAAATCCTGGTCGTGAATGAAAATGCATCTCTGTGGGCCCTCACAGGCCCACGCAGAGGTGAATGAATTTGGCTGTCTTCTGCATCTGCATCTCCTGGACGCTCACTGATCTGCCCCAGGGCCTGGTGGTTGCTGTCCCAGCTTGGTCCTGCAAGCCCCTCTGGGTGGAGCTGCTCACCCCGTGCTCCGGGGCTCACGCCTGCAGGGAGGCCCAGCCTGTATCAGGATCCTCTTCACAACCTCCTGACCCCACCGGGCGGCCCTGCGGCCCTCCAGCTCCACCAGGGCAGGGCTAAGCCTCTCCGGCTGGCCTGGCATATATGCTCCGAGACATCACACACTTGGATATGGCCTGGGCTGACATAAGTTCCATAAGCACCTGAAGGCTGGTGCACGAGGGTCTCTGGCTAAGCCACTGCACGCTTAGGCTGTGCCCTTCCTTCCTGGCCTATGGTCTCACCTGCTGTCCCTCCTCTCCGTGGTGGAGACACCCACACACCTTCGTCTAAGCAGACCAGCAGTTGACTTGGATCGGAAACGGCTTGTGCCCAAGCAGGCCCAGCAACACACGTGGTCCTTCTTCAGTTGGTTCAATCCAATGCTTTAGAGAAACACGGGATTTTAGCATTATTAAAAGATGTGGATATAGCAAGGAATGGAATACAACAACTTCAGACTTTGGTGGGTGGAGGCGGAATACGTAAACCTCTGACAGCCATGAGGAGACCGAGCCCTGGCTCTCTTGTGGGACCTGCTGACCCCAGCAGAGCCCTGCAGACAATCCACAGATACACGGTGGTCACTTCCATCCAGGGAGTTCTGGCAGGGTTTGTTATGTGGCAACAGCAAGTCAATACCTCATCCTAGTTCTTCCCAGGGCAGTGCTGTGCACAGAGAAGACACAAAATATACTTCGAGTTAATACACATTTACCGAGTATCTGCTAATTTGCAGATGGCGTGCTAAGGACAAGGGAGAGGCTGGTGATCCAGATGGCATAATTCCTGCCCTCAGGGAGCACAGTTAATCATACTTTGATGAGTTCTATGAAGGAAATTCTCAGCAACACAGGATGACGGGTGAGTTAAATGCTATGGTGTTAGGACAGAAAGGGAAATAGGCAGTGTAGAATAGAGACCCTAGAGACCCCAGGTGGAGATCCATGCACACGTGGGAAGTCTGCAAGTAACAGAAGCAGCACTGCAGACCAGTGGAGAGACAGTGAACTCACTGGTGATACTGGAAAAAGAAACTTTCCACATGGCATAAAGTAAAACTGGGTTCCTGCCTAAGCACGCACACCACACACACGATTAGGCCCAGCTGGATTAAAAGCGTGTGTGTGTGTGTGTGCGTGTGCACGCACACACACACACACACGCACACATACACACACACTATTAACTTTATGACCCTGGAGTAGGGAAAGGCTTCTTAAGCAAGTCCAAGACACTCAACAAAGGAGAAGATTGATAGATTTTACTACACAATAATTAAACACCGTAAAAGATACTATTCTAAATAAAGAGTTAAGACAAATGGTAGATTGAAAGAAAATATTTGTAACATATATGACAAAGGATTAATAGCCTTAACAGATCAAGAATATTAATTCCATCAGAAAAAGAGTAAAAATGGGAAGACGACATGAAAAGGCAATGCACAGAGGAGGAAGGCAGCAACATGTTAATCAGTCCCCCATCCACTCGGTGCCTGGCACAGGAGGGGCCCCGCCTCCCGCCAGCCTCTTCCTAGTGCAGACATCACTGCTGCCTAAGGATGAGTCCATCACCATGAAGACCCAACGTTAGCTCCAAACAGCTTCATGGACACAGCTTTGGAGAGAGTGCCATTTTAACAAAATCAAAGTCCTGATACAGGAACATGTATTTTTGCAGTACATCTTGGCAGTCACAGTAATGGCTGTCTCCGCATGAGCATCTGATGTTAATGCTCACTCTGAACCACTAAAACACAAAGGGTGAGCCCCGTGTGCCACAGCCAGCCCCCACGTAGGTGAGAAGGCTTTAGGATCCAATCATATATGAGGCCCGTGTTTCTTTCTCATGCACTTATGGGAACAGACAAAAAACTATGTTTAGAAAAGATGCATTATTGAAGAAATTTTAATTTAAAAAAAATCAAAAGAAAAATTGAACAGTGCCTAAATCTTTATTTTCATAACCTACATTTTTTTTCAAATTAGACAGTTTTACACTGAATGACACAAAAGGAAACTTAAATTACCAATAGTTTACATGTAAGCTTGATTCCAGTCTTAATGAAGCAGAACAAAAACGAAACCCTCGAGGAGCGACCACATGACCCCCGCGCTGTGAGCTGCTGGCGGCCAGCGCCCTCGCCTCGATTGTCTGCAGCCCTGTAGTGGGCCGCGAGGCACGCAAGCCGCAACTACAGCTCGCCAGCGGGGCACACAGACAGGCATGCACCACCACTACCCGTCGCCCGGATACACTGAACTGGTTTTGAAGCCTGAACTGCAGAGATCCTAATATAGCAACGCAGGACGTTTACGGCCACCCGCCAGTGACAGCCGGTGATGTGATGACAGGAGGGCCTGGGTGAAAATGTCAAGACACTCACTCTCAGAGAACGACGACTCCACTTGAAATTCATGTCTGGTGAAACGGGACCAGGTTTTTATTCTTCTATTTCAAAATGATAAGCATCATCACACGATTTTACAAGTTAAAATGCCATTTGTCACTGCTGCATCTCTGATTCTATAACCTGAGATACTGCTGGGGGTAAAGGAGGGTGTTAACTTAAAAAAAAAAAAAGTATGAAAGCCACTCTCATCGCTGTATGTGACACAGCACAGTTGGCATGGACCGCCACAGCTTCCTATTATGATAACTCTCATTTTCTTCTGAGCAGAAACTCTTGAAGTAGTATCAGGTTTTTTCAGACATTATATAGCAATCTGTATTTCACCTTTAATTAAAAAGGATGCTATAAAAATCACCTCCGAGCAACGTTTCAGTTCTTGATGCAGAAGACTGCTGCTGGCTAGGCAGTAACTACAGTGTATTGACCGGAGGGCAGCAGAGCCCTCCAGTGGCGACTGGCTAATGCACGCGCTGCCCTCCTCATGCAGCTGTTGAGCTCCCACTTCGGTCGACAAAGTGAAGGACTAAGCTGGCTCTAACCACACACACACACTGCGCTGCAATGCTCACACCTTGGGGGAAAGGACTTCTCATTATTAAAAACCAAGGACTCACTGGCGGACGGGCAGGCCTTGTGTTTTGGGAATGGCTGATGGCGCCCTGGCCCTTCCGTAGCGAAGATGCAGCTCGTAGGCCCAGGCCTCGAGGTTGCCTCCCAGCTTTCTGAGTATTGAGAGTTTGGGTTTCACAGATCAATTATTTCTGATTTTTTTTTTTTTTTTGGTCAGTGAACTGACAACTACAAAAAAAAATCCCCATGTTCTTTAAAATGCATTTGAAAAACACTAGCCCTGTGGCTATTTCTCTGTATTTGAATAATGGCAACTGCTTTAAAGGAAATGGTCAAATAGGCATGTTTTCCTCTGGCAGGGTCAATCATGCTTAGCTGCAGGTGATTTAAATTAGATTACTAGTCACCTTCACTTACGATCCTGCCAGTTTTTGCTCTCTATATACTTTAAAACTCTTTCACATTAGATATGATTAGTATGCATTTACATACATTTTAAAAGAGTATGAAAACATCTGGAGGCTTTTAATAAGACTTTCCAATTCCCTTTTGCAGCAAAGAGGCAGAATCAGTTCAACACACCGATGTAAGAGAAAAAAGAAAATCTCAACAAATCAAAATAATATTCAAACCACAACATTTAGTTTATCTACATCCCGCTCAACAGCAACATTTATAATATATCAATAATCTGTATCAGAATTTTCTCTGTAGGGTACCTTTTTCATATGTTCTGATTATTTACAACTGTACAAGCGAAGCACACTCCAAGTGCACGTATTTAATACAGTATTGACTATTTGCATTTACAGGATTTTCCAACATTCTGAAAAAAGATCAACTGTTGAAGATCTTTAAGGTATATTACAAAAACTACTACTAGCTCTTGTACTACAGTATGCTTACTCAGTAAAACTAGCGACAGGAGATCCACGCAGTAACTGAGTAACTCTGACCCACTCACGCCAACCCAGGGCCGGGCTCCATGGACTCTAAGCTGTCTTATACAAAAGTTAAGGCAAAGTCATTTTCAAGTTTAAATAAAATTCAAGTCTTTAAATATTGGATGGAAATAATTTTTTCTTAAAAAAAACCCTCAGTCTTGTTAAATAACATTTTGTGGAATAAAGTGTATGGTTACATTTAGCAGGAAATATTCTTATTTTAATGTTTGCTGCTTAGAATAAAGAAAAATTTGAGGCATTTTAAAACAAAATAATTTATATTTAACTTTATTATAAACTTGCTAACTTTAGTGCATCCTTGTTCTTCAGAAGTGCAGCACTTCTGGAAGTGAATCAATGAGGCCCTCGTCTTGGAGGTAAAAGAGCAGGAACTTTATCCTCCACCAGCCAAAGAGGGGGAAAAACCACAAACACCATTCTCTCACGATTACATAACTCTTAAATCCATGTGCTGATGCAGAGGTACAGGGAGATGTCCACACGGAGCTGAAGATGTGGACTCTCTCCAACCAGAGTGCTGGGGAACACGGACAGAAATGTGCACAGAGCAGGGCCGGGGCCATCAGCTCACAGGGGTCAAAACAACATCATGGTACAACTTCTGGTAACATGTCAGTGGGCAACAAAGTGTATGTTTTCATGTAGGTTCTATTCACAATGTGCTTTGAATTTATATTACATAATAGCCACTTGAAACTGGAGTGAGAAGCTGGTTACTTGCTTGCAGTGCATCAGAACCAAGGTTTCTGGGGTGGCCCCTGCAGGTTCACTCCGCCCAGGAGATCAAAAAGGATGCGCTCTCTACATTCTTAAATGCCACAGTCCCCTACCAACGGCTTAGGTGGAAGCACAGCTCCCACATCAGCACTGATGCCCTGGCGCGGCCAGCACTGCCTCTACGAGGCCACACCTGCCTCTGCCAAGGCCACTGGCCCTCATTCATCTGCGGGGACGTTCTAGAGATATGCACTTACAGACCAGTTACTTAAAAAAAAAAAAAAAAAGCAGAGTTCCCTTAATTTAGAAAAACTCACTATATATAGCTTGCATTCAGAGCCACATGGAGGCTTAATAAAAAATACCAATTTGTTAGGATAAATGCTTTTTCTATCTTGGAAAAAAAAATCAGACTTATGCATCACCTCCAGTTAAGCACCAACCTAAAATAAGGTTTGTATTAATTAAATCCTGAAAAATCGATTTTTTTTCAAGAGGGGGAGAATCCAACTCACAGAAGAAAACCAACTTGAGGATCCCACAGGCCTCAGACACTGCAAGCTCCTAACCAGCGGCTCGCCCTCGCACTGAGTGGGAGAGTGTCTCGTTTGTGGTTAACACAGCGCTCTGCGACCCCTCCCAGACGTACGGTTTTCACTGAGGAGACTTGGGGGGAGTGCTCTGCTCTCGGCTGAGACGCTTCCCCATGGCCGAGGGCGAGGGCCGGCCCCCCGCCGGCCGCCTCTGGTCTCTGGGGGCTCCAGGTGTGGACTTGAGGGCTGGGGGCTCCCGGTATCTCTCTGCGGGCTCTGCCAGCTTCTTTTCCTCCTTCCCACAACCAACAGTGTTTGGCTTTTGTTCTTTTTGGGGTTGCAATGGGGAAGAAGGAGGCTCTTTACTCGTTCTCTGACAAATCTCTGCGTAGCTGGGCTTTCGCAATTCCTGGAAACAGACAATCCTGGGTTACCTGTGTGAAATGGTGTCTCTAGGGACAAGACAGGAAATCAAGTTCACTTAAGATAAAAGAGTTTTCAACTGTAACTAAGTTTCCATCTTCACTAGTGTTTTTAACTTTTAAAAAGTTCATAAAATCTAATGATTTAGTTTCCCCTGCAGCAGAACACTCCCTCTGTGCTACTGTAGTAATGGATAAAATTAGAAAAGGCATGACGAAGAAGAGTGCTGACTCAACACCATCCCTACCCAGCCCTATGCCTGCTTGGGCAATGCGGAAGCCTAGGAAGAGTCCGGATGCTGCCCACACTGGCTCCGCCAGCTCAGGACAACAGAAGGGTGTCCCAGGTGCCCACGGTGGGCAATGGACCCTCACACGGTACTCAACCCTGAAAGGCAAACTCCAAAAACAGTCTTTAAATAAAAATGTTTTGCACATTTCAAACTACAAAGGACTGGAAATATCTAAGAATGATGAAGACAGCTAAAATCTTCAAGAAATGTGTAATAGGGTTTTCAGGTAAGTGGAAGCATAAAGACTAAATAACAGAAAAGTAAAATATTTCCCTTAATAACTTTTTTTTTTTTTTTTTTGAGACACAGTCTCACTCTGTCGCACAGGCTGGAGTGCAGCAGTGCAATCTCAGCTCACTGCAACCTCTGCCTTCCGGGTTCAAGTGATTCTCCTGCCTCAGCCTCCTGAGTAGCTGGGACTACAGGTGCCCACCACCAAACCCAGCTAATTTTTTGTATTTTCAGTAGAGACAGGGTTTCACCATGTTGTTCAGGACTGTCTGGATCTCCTGACCGCATGATCTGCCTACCTCGGCCTCCCAAAGTGCTGGGATTACAGGCGTGAGCCACAGCACCTGGCCTCTTTTATTATTATTATTATTTATTATTAAAATTATTAATTTTAACCTATAAAAAATCCTTTTTTAGACTCAGCCCAGGGGACAGTAAGGGATTAAACTCCCAAATTCAAGGAAAAGGCTCCCCCAAGATCAAACTACAGAGGCCACAACTCAGAGTAAGAGAGGCCACAGTTCACCCAGTAGGGAAAACAGCAGAAAGGAAGTCGCTGGGGTTCAGGCCTGCTGGGCCCACAGGGGTTGGAGGCTGGTGGGGCCACCATCTTGCTCTTCCTGTCTCTTCATCAGACACACGATGCGCGCGCACGCACGCAAACATACACACACGCGCGAAATGCTGAAATGATCCTAAAGTCTATGGAGAAACAGGAGCTGGGGTCTTGTTACTACTCAAGAAACCTCTATTGACCAACACTGAAATAAAAGGACTACATGGTGGTCTGAGAAAGAACTAGAGTAGTTAGTGGAAAATTATTAGCAAATATTAAAGGTATTTTGTACAGAAAACACAACACAGACAGACGCAAATAAAAACCCACCAAATTAGATGTGATTAAAAAACGAGCAGGTGCAGGAGTGCGCAGCGTCTGTTCACACCAGAGCCTCGCGGCTGTCGTGCAGGAAGGCAGGCACGAGGTACGTACCGTGGCGGCTCCGTTCACCTGCACCGATTTACACGCGGTCGCAGTGAGGGCGGAAGGAAGTCTGTCCACACTGTGGGTTTCCCTCTGTTTCTCCGCCACCTTGGGATCACTGTAAAAATGCCACCCGATATTTGAATCTCATGCAACATCACAGGCCATTCAAGTCAGTCAACACCAAGGCGCTGGAAGAACACCAATACTCACTCGGGTAAATGAGCTGGGGAGGGGGATCGCTCGTACGTTGCTGATACAGCACAAGAAGCCGGCACCGAGGGCTCTCTGGAGACCACTACAGGAAGGGTGTTCACGCTTGCGTCTGCACTGAGGGTCTGAAACAGGGTCAAGAGTGTTCATCAGAGTCCTGCCGGCACTAAGCGGAGCTGGTACCAGTGCCCGTTCACCCCACCCGTGAACAGCCTTGGGAGAGCAGCACAAGGACATAGGGGAAGAGGGTCTTCTCCAGCAAAAATGTCACAGAGCCCAGGACTATCCTCTGCCCCACAGATCGCCCACCCTTCTCTTTCTCGGCAAATGCCCCACTGTTCTTACATCACAGGCCCTTATCTCCTCTCCCGCAATGATGATCTACAAGCTTATTTCTTAACTGAACAGGCATCAAACACATCTCACCCACCTGGCACTTTGGGCCCAGCACGGCACGGCACAACACCACATGCATATCTGCTGAGTGTCGAATCCTAACACAGTCCAACACAACTCATTCACACCGCTGAGAAAAAACAATCGGCGCCTCCACACCCATATAAATGTGAGCTCCCAGCCCTCCCTGAATTCACAACCCCAGGAAGCAGGTGTGCGAATGCCCCCATCTCAACAGGTGAGGAAACTGAGGCCCAATACCTCTAAGTTAATTTGCCCAAGGCCAGGAAGCAAAGGACGGAGTGAAACTTACTCCCTCCTTACTCCAGCCAGCGACCCCTGTGCAGGGGCTATTTCATGTGTGCTTGATCTTATACATATGGCATGTGATGATACACTTGTCATGCAACTTAAAAAAGGCAGGAGGGCAGGTGCTCTTTACACTTCTGCCCTTAGATGAAGGCTGACGACAGACCTAGAGCCCTTCCAGCTGGAGAACCAGAATCCGCTGCAATTCCTGCGCTCGACCAGCAGGAATCCAGCTTGGTGGAAACAAGAGGGCAAAGGACTCCTTTTGTAAAAGCTCATTTTAAATTCAGGGTAGGGGCCGGGCACGGTGGCTCACGCCTATAATCCCCGCATTTTGGGAGGCTGAGGTGGACGAATCACCTGAGGTCAGGGGTTTGAGGCCAGCCTGGCCAACATGGTGAAACCCCATCTCTACTAATAATACAAAAATTAGCCGGGTGTGGTGGTGCATGCCTGTAGTCCCAGCTACTCGGTAGGCCGAGGCAGGAGAATCACTGGAACCCAGGAGGCGGAGGTTGCAGGGAGCCAAGGTCGTGCCACTGCATTCCAGCCTGGGTGACAGAGCAAGACTCTATCTTAAATAAACAAATTAACTAATTAATTCAGGATATGTGCAGTCCCAATGCAAATGAAATGCAGATCCACAACTGCAGGTCATGAAGCAAGTCAGAGTGACCATCACGAGCTCCATGTCAACAGGGGAAGGGCTGAACCCCATCATTTCTGGAGCCTCCACCCCACTTTGAAACCCAAGGGCCACGCTGTTGACTCAAGAAGCTCCCAAGAAGCAGCAATGGAGCCCACTACACCTGGGTGGTGGCATAAGGCTCAGGGTCAGGCTTTTCAAAGAAGCAATTCTTTCTTCAAGAGAAACCTTACACAAGACTCAAACTGGGCACAGCAGGAGCTGCTGTTTCTGAAGCAGGGTTGGAGACCTGCCTCTTCTCCTCCACTCAATACCAACGGGAGTAGGCTACAGTTGGAAAACTAGAATTCATGATCTTTAAACTGCATTTCTTCTCAAGGCACTAATACCTTAGAAATGACGGTGTGGAAATTTAAGGCTAATGTGACAATCCTGGAATGTACTCAATCTCCAAACAGGAGCATGACCATCTACCAATATGAAAAGGACTAGACACGTCACCTGGCTTTCATTGTAAAGATACTGCATCAAAATCCACCTTAAATTCTGCCCTAGGAAGTGAGGAATGGTTCTATCTACTGCGGGGCCTTCCCTAAAGCCCAGGGTGGAAGAGACACTGACTCTGCAGACCTGGGTGGGGTAGCAAGCAGCACGGTCATGTGGCGTGGAACAGACACGTGGTAACTCTGGGGCACAGCTGGGGAAAGGGCCCCTGGCACAGGGGACACCGGCAACCTGGAGTGCTCAGCAGGTTCTTCCTGGGCTCTTCCTATGCACAGTAGGTAACTGGGCAGAAAACTTCCTCTGTACTTCCCAGAGCCTTCAACGCCAGGTGTGGCAGCCGGCCAAGTCCCACTTCCACCTCCTAAGCACATTAGAGGCCAGAGTGCTGGGCTGAGTGTCCTCTGTCATCTGCAGCTCGGGACGACTCCTGGGATGATATTCACTGCAGTGGAGGCGGCACCTCGTGGGGCAGCCCAGACCTCACCAGAAGCTACCGACACTACAGTGAGGTTCTCCCAGGCTTCTTGCTCCTTGTCTCATGTAGATTACTACACATTTTAATCATTTCCAATACAATTCAGATGTTTCCATTTCATTCTGTTGTTTTATAAAATAAAGGCAGGTCTGAACTACAACAATGACAATGCAATCTAAGTTTCTGGGTGAGAGAAAGGGTGTGTACGGCACATCATGGCACACGTTTCTACCTCTGACTTCATCAGACAGCAATGTTAAGGAGAAGGCCCAGCCCTGGGTTCAAGGCTGGCCTTACTCCAAATCTGTGTGACCTCTGCAATCACGTGGCCTCCAAGCCTCTCTTGAGTATTAAAAACAAACATGTATAAAGAGCTCAGCAAAGCGCCTGACACGGAACCCGTACCTAGACACTGTTGGCAACTATTAGACATGCAATATATCCCTTACCCTTTCTTTGGATGGTCCTATTATCAAGCTAGATAGCCTGTTTTCAAACAAGTCCTCTGTCTTCAAATTGCCGGCAGCTCCAGGTAATGGAGGGAAGCTGGACAGCCCCAGCTCGAAGCTTGGCGACGGAGGCTTTGGTGGCGTTGGAGACTGTGTCTGGCTGCTCTGCAACAGAATGACACCCCAGGGTCACGGTATGGAGAGAGAAGGCCAAGCAGCTTCTCGTTTCCACACCTGTCTGGAAAATATCTGTAGAAACAAGCAGATCATTCAACCCAGACAAGGGCTTCCTCACTCAATTGAAGGTTCTCCCAAGCAACTTCAACCATCTAGAGCAGAGCTGTAAAACTGAAATCTCAAGGATGCTGCTGCCCAAGAGATGTGTCACAAAGGACACAGTGAGGCTAAGGTGACATCCAAAGAGCTATCCACCCATGGCTGCCAGCACTCACGAACAGCAGGGGCAGCTGAAGGCAAGGGAGACACTCTGGAGTGACTCCAGCCCACCAGATGGAAAGCAGGGCAGCCTGAGTCTAGACATTAAACTTTCTCACTTTCAGACAAGTGTTGTGTTACTACAGCATAGTTTTTAATGTGAGTCACAAGATAATTGTAAAAAACAAAATATGACACTCTCTCCACAACCTGTGTAAGAAATTTTACACACGTGCATCAAAAAAGTGGTTTAACAAAAGGGAAGGGGGCTCGAATTCTCTGAAAATAAACTTAATGAAAGTTTATATTTTTAAATAATTAAAAACACAGGATTTGACAACAAATTCTAATCAGATTCTTTGACTTCCAAGAAAGCAAACTCAGTATAATAAGAAGTGAGTGTACTTTGTAAGCCCAAATCTCAGAAGAAAGGCAGTAATACCTTTTATTGGAAAATGATCTATCAACCCGCTTTAACAAGCTGGCAGTCATTTTGCGAGTACGCAGTTCCTCGGCTGAAGGACACATGGCACAGAAAGGGGAAATGAGTTTGCATTTAGTTTAGAAATGAATTTATATTAACTAAAGAATACAACTATTTTTAGCTGAAACAATGAGCTACTCTGACCAGGAAGCAAAGATCTCATGGGATCCACCTAACTGGAAAGTGCCAATGTTTCTCCAAAGTTTATACACAGGAAGGTGAATCCCTGCATCAGTAGATTCTAGAGAAAATATGTCAGAAGTGAAAGCAGGTCAAAGGATGAAAATGAATTCAGGCTGACACAAACCCCAGTCCAGTCTGTGTTGGGCATTCCGCTTGCTTCTCTGCTCCACGCGACAGGTGCCTAATTTTAGCTTAGCTTTTCCCAGTTAGGTGTCCTTGGCAGTAAGCTTGTTACCTACTGAGCAGCTGGCTGTTGTATGCTCTCTGTAACCTAGTATTGTGAATATGATGCTCAAAATGATCCTGCAAAGCTCTAAGTTACACATGGCCACTATGATGGCAAAGCGGTTTTAAACATCTGCACGTTTCTGAGGTGAACACAGCTTTTCAGAAGATAAGCATTATTAGAGAGACAGCCTTCCCCAAAAATGTATTTAAATCTCAACTTGTAGAAGCAAAAGAGGCAGGCAACAACTGCCCAGATGTGGGAGTTACAAAATGACATCACCCACAGATGGGACTTGACTTGGAAGGCAGTGTTAAAATCCTCTAGGATCTGAGCACCTCTGGGTGAGGTCTGAGTACTGCTCAGGTCCCATGGGCGTGGTTAGGCCCGAGGCTCACACACTTTTACAGAAAAAGCGTCTGGACCTTTCTGAGGTCCTGAGAGCACGTACATAAGACGATGGGCGTATGCTCTGTAATCAATACAACACTGGGCCACAAGCCGAAGCTTCAAAGCAGGTCACAGTCATGAACACATGCATCAGGAATGCAAGGCAAAACAGAACGGAAGAGAAATGGCTGTGGGAAAACATCACGGCAGGCACAACAGTGCCCTGTGTTTAGATGCTTGACTTGTTAGTCCAAATGGTCACAGGAATTCACTAATTCCAATTGCAATTAACTGGTAAAAACTGCCTTACCAACTAGTTAAACAAAAACTAGACTAAGCCGACCTCATGAAAGGCACAATTTCTGAGTTCTAAACAGAGATTGTATCTTTTGTGATGAGAAAGCACCTGTGTGATGGCTTGAGGGGCTGGACCAGGATTTGTCCAGGTCTCCTCCAGCATTCCTTGTATGGAATTCCACATCTGCAAGCCCATGGAGGCATCCCTCCCATCTTCGTGGGTACTGCTAACTGCCACCTTGCTGTCCCACTACTGGTTCGTGGGTACTGCTAACTGCCACCGTGCCATCCCTCCCATCTTCGTGGGTACTGCTAACACTGCCACCGTACCGTCCCACCACTGGTTCATGGGTACTGCTAACTGCCACCGTGCCATCCCTCCCATCTTTGTGGGTACTGCTAACTGCCACCGTGCCATCCCACCACTGGCTGTGGAGAAGTCCATGCCATCCTCCACTAAAGACCAGCACAAACATTTTCCACAGGAGAAACTCTGATTAATCAACCCAAGCAAAAATCACCATGTCTCATGTACTTACCGCCACAAAAACCTATCACTTATGTTTGGGTCTGTCCTGCCAGTAAGTTATAGCAGAAGGAGATAATGCTTTCTACACAGTGGGAGAGTATTCGAAAGTTTTGAAGGAAAAACACCGACAAACAAATTGCTCCGTGGAAGATGCTTACTCTGCTCATTGAAATGAATGGCTCCAGTCATTTCAGACTCTCCGGTACAGCTGCCACACAGAAGAGCTCACGTGCACACCCGTGTGTAGGCTGCAGTGCATGCGACAGCAAGTTCCTGGCCATGCCTGTGCCACAGCACAACACGCCTGTGCACTGTGGAGTCCTGTGCAGCACATCGCTATTTCCAAAACCTCTACAGTTGCTTCCTCCTAGGCCAGCCAGGGTGTCAGTTATTACTTAGTGGATTTCACGTTACAAGTCTTTTGAAATGCTCATTCTTGTGCCTTAACCTTAATCCATTTAATTAAATCTCAGGTTTGGTATAAATTAGATTTAAATGTCTTGTGAAGAGGTATATGCTTTATGTACTCACTGTAAACTTCTCCTCCCTTTTCTTCCGGTAGCCAAAGGAATTCTTCCTAGAGGAGTGGAAAGTGAAAGACTGTTATTTTTTTCCCACTTGGAGAATTTATTATTGAGCACGTTTGCACTCACATAATCAAAGTACACATCAATTCAGTCTTTATCACTTTGAAACCTTTCAAAGATGACTTTCAATTCTAAAATCCCAACTTCAGGAAGCGTAAGCAGAACAACACAAAGTTGACAGCAAGGGACTAACGTGGAAGTCCAGGCAAGTGATAAAGAACAGAAGAAAACACTGACTGAAACCAACTCCCTGGTGCCTCCTTGGGATGTCTGTTAAGACATGAGTACTGAACATCCACTGGGTGGAAATGACAAGACACATAAAATCTGAGACTGAGCTCCATCAATGAGTTGTTTAAAATGGTGGTGAGAATTTTCCCGGCGCAGATTTGCTTTACATCAGATTTAAAAGACCCCAAATACCGCGTCCCATCCCTTCCTCTGCCCTCTCAGCTTCCTCCACTACTGCCTCAATGGCTGACCCCTTCCCACGAAAACCACACAAGGACCTCTGTGCCCCAAAGACTTCCTGCCCTCGCCTCCCAGCCTCAGGAACCACATTCTGGACCTCCCCATGCAGGCAGCAAGGCCACGCCACACACGCAGTTGATAACCACAGGACAGACACTGATTAAGTGGTGACTTCACGTGGAGACCTAGGACTCTAGGATGGCCAAGACATTCCCATTTCCCTGGACAGGTTATGTGGTCTAACAAGTCACATGACACACATTCATCTCAATGGATAATTTAATGGAATGCAAAGACTCCCCCAAGGGCCTTGTATTACATAACCTGGAAAGGAGTTAAGAAATAGTCTTGACTAATTCCTTCATTTACAGAAAACCAAAAACTAGTCTTGCCTAAGATGGCCTAACAGTGGAAAACTCTGTGGAACCTTGGGCCAAACCCTCTAGGGCAAGGACGGCACAAACCTTTAGGATTCTGGAGCAAATCCCTATTATCTCCTACAGAAAACTTTCTGGAAATAGCTCCTGGCTTTCTACTGGTGCCTTGCGGAGACTGCAGGCCAGACTATGGGACATGGATGAGTACTGAGCCACAGGTGGGGCATGAGTCCTGACAACCCAACCTCCTGTAGGAACAGGGGGCTTGGTGCTCCTTGTCCTGGATCCATGCCTGTGGCCTCACAGGGAGAGAGGGTCCTGGGCCTGCATTATGGACAGCCACCCCAGTACACACCTGGCTCAGCACCACTCCCTAATAGGGGGTGCTCCCAAAACCCAGGGAGCTGAACTCCTACTCCGCTGCGCCAGGATTCAGAAGTAGTGGAAAGGTGGGGCTACAATGACCCATGAGCAGAGCTAGGGATGCAACCAGATGAGAGTCTTCAGTGGGACAGGACTCAACTGGCCCTGGGGACCTGGGAGGGGTGTGAGACGGATGGTGTCAGCACCTGCTTGCCCAGAGGCATTGCCCTGAGCGCTGGACAGAGGGACAGCAGCCACATGGGCAGAGGACATCCCGCAGGGCTCGGCACAGGGCATCCCTCCGCCAAGGGCAGCCTGCTCGTCACTACCGGCTGGGACGCAGGGGCACCCATCCCTTGGAACACAGCGGTGTCCAGGACACAGACCTGCCTGCCATGGGGTCCTATCCCAGTCACCATCAGTGGGCCCAGCCAACACTCCCCCACACCCTCACTGGGCTCCACGTAACCCGTGTCAGACCCAGAAGCCCACCTGCAGCCGTAGAACACTGTCAGCTGTCAGTGCCCATCATGCAGAGAGCAGGTTGGCTGAGCCAAGGCTCAGTGACAGGGCCATGGTGGGTTACAGCTCACAAGGGGTAGCAAGGGACCCAGGGTGGTCCCAGCACCATAGAGGAAACATCACTGTGACACCCGCGACTCTGAATGCAGTGGTGTGAAGGCCTGAGACCCTGAAGAGGTGTGCTTCCCCCAGCTGATCCTAACAGTAGCTCCACCAAGGCAGCCACCTGGCGCCTGGGGCTCCTCATGCCATTCAACCCAGCTGGGCCGTGCCCTGCCATGGCCGCCATGCAAGGGTAGGGACATGTGTCTGGACTCTGGTAAGGGGTTCTCCAGGACATCTTAGCACTTTGGTCCAATAGAGAAAGTTAATGGAAACAAAACAAACCCTCCCAAAAAGGGGAGGTGGAGGCATGGCTGCTGTGGATCAGGTTCTCAGGGCAAGCAAGGCCTGGCACACCTCCCTGCAAAACAGCACAAGCTCTTTCTCAAGACAGAGGGAAGGAGGAGGTTACGAAGGTCAGCTCTGGCTTCAGAACCCATCGCAGAAACAGGCTGCAGGAGTTGCATGCGCTTTCCCTGCCCACCACTTCCTAAACCACTCCCTAAACCACTGGTGCGTGCTTCCTAAACCACTCCCTGCCCACCGTGCCCATGCTGGTGTGCGCTTCCTAAACCACTCCCTGCCGCAGTGCTCAGGTCTCAGGTGGGAGGACAGTTGTCCTCCCTTGGTGGGGAGAGAGAGGGTCTCCATTGGTGCAAGATCTGCATCTGTCAGGCAAAAGCATAAACTTGTTACAGTTGCATTTGGAAGTTCAAGTATTGTTGAAGGGTATCCTGGGTAGACCACATTCGTCAGCAAGCTTTGGACTCTCAGCTTCAAAGCCACCTGTATACATTTTGTGAGGTAGCTGGAATTCAACAAGCCCCACTTTCATTTGCCAGGAAACTCCTTGTGACGCTCGTATGAACAAGGCACACTGAAGAGCACAGGAGGCTGAGGCCGGGGGGCCTTGTCCATCTAGTCTGCCTCCTTCCACACCGTGCCCACAATTGATGCCCCTCAGAGGGAGCCACATGGCCTTGATGAGTAGGGCTCTGTCCCAAGTCTGAGCCCCAGCTCTGCAACCCTCCTCCCTCCAAGCGTCTGGGTCTTAAGAACCCCAAACTGAGACCCAGGGCTAGCAACTGCTCCCTGAAGTCACTGACTCTCCATGACACGGTGGGCCCCTTTTGGCTTTGCATCTCCAAGGCCTGTTGAGCCAACCTGATGCCATGTTTCCTGTGAGACACAGGCCAGTGCCAGCTCTCCCAGACCATGGTGCCTTCCAATGCCACTGCACAATCCCTGCAGGAACTCCTATGTGCTCATTGAATCATTATGGGCAGGAATGAGATGCTTCTGATGCCTCTTCATGTTGAATTCTCACTGCACAGAGGGTGTGCACTGTGGCAGGCAGGAAGAGGAGCTTGCACGTCAGGGATGGTGCTGTACACATTGTATATAGAACACCCTGAAAAAGCTCAGGTATTTGAGTCACTTGTTTGTCACTTATGAGAGGAAAATCCTGACGGTCCTTACCAAGGCAAGGACTGAGAAGATCAACTGGCCTTATCAACAATGGGCAGGTGCGGTGGCTCATGCCTGTAATCCCACCACTATGGAAGGCTGAGGCAGGAGGATGGCTCTAGGCCAGGAGTTCAAGACCAGCCTGGGCAACACAGCGAGATCCTGTCTCTACAAAATATTTAAAAACTAGCCAGGCATGGTGGTGTGCATTTGAAGTCCTAGCTTCTCAGCATGCTGAGGCAATAGGATTGCTTGAACCCAGAAGTTCAAGGCTGTAGTGAGCCATGATCATGCCAACGTACCCCAGCCTGGGCAACGGAGTGAGACCCTGTCTTAAAAACAAACAAACAAACAAACAAACAAACAAAAACCTACTACAGGATTGATGCCAAAAAAATGTTAAACAAAACCAAAAATGGTGGGCAGGAAGCACAGCTAAGACCCGTCCTGGCTAGTCTCAACCCTCCAATGAGATGAGACTGCAATGCTGATCTGCCTGGTTACCCGCTCCAGGCTCCACCTGCAGTGCCTGGTGCACACCCAGCTGGAGGGCGCCAGGCCAGCAGCCATGGGGCAGAGCCTGGACACCGCCCTTGCAGAGGGGCCTGGTGAGCCAGGGGTGCTGCCAAGAGGAGACTGCAGGCACATGGGATGGAGTCTATGGCTATTGAGCTCCAGTGTTTCTACAAATAATGATCTAAAACAACTACAGTTCTCACTGAACCATTTCATATTCCAAAAAAGATGAAGCCATTTAAGTCTTAGCAATTATATAAAACCCTTATGTTTATAGCCTTCAGTTAGATTTTCTGTGACATATTTAAAGACAATTACAAAACATATCTAAATTAAATAATTTTTAAAATATTAGTTTATGATGTTACACAGTAACTGCTCAACAACTCACCTTCCCCTCCCTAAACCAGGAGAGGATTCGAGACTGCCTGGCTCCACACGCCCAGGCCCAGCCTCTCTCTTGGCATATGCTGAAGGGTTTTGAATCCGTGTTCTAGTTTGACCTGCTTGCCTTGTTTGTGGACTCCGGACACCATTAATTAATCGATCTGCAGTGAAGTTAAATATTGAAGGACTTTCTAATAACCCAGGTCCCCTCTCTGCACTAGGAATCGCATGCCGCAGATGAGATTTACTAGGATTCCTGTAAATAAAAATGGTTTTATGTGTTGAGTTATAAAATGATCAAGGCATTACATAACATGCATACTGACATGGAATAGCTAAGCTGAAATCTGCTCTCTGTTTAATAAAGTATAAAAATAGGATTTGGAATGGTTAACTCCTAACATATAGGATAATGCAAATCTATTAACAATGTGCCACAATTCTGCTTAGCTGTTTTTCAGTCCAGGCCCAAATTAAAATCAGGCACACCTGATGTGTACAAGTTGCCCCAAAGCCTCCTCTCAGAGAATCTGAGGCGGGCACCCATGCCAGATTGTAGTGCTTAGTCTTTACAGAATGCAGCTGTGTGCTTCAGGTGGCTCTGTCTGCGAGGAGCAGGACTAGTGATCAAAGCTCTCTCATCCCAACTCCGGAAGGGCAGTAGCGTAAAGACCAAAACTGCTAAGACCGCCCCGGAACTTGCCTGCTTCGAGGAGGATACTGTCTGAGAGAAGTCAGAGGAGACGCCGCAGGCTTGAACGCTGGAGACGTAAACCCATTTATAAATCCAGTATTTGGAAATGGAGTTACCTAGATTCATTTGAAAACAGACAAGTAAATAAACCATAAAACAGACTTCAATTTCATTAATACCAACAAATCTGTGGAAACTGAGGGCATTTCTTGATGTTGTCAGAGTCATGACCCATGCTGAGACATGTATTTTACAATTTTATCACCAATGGGTGCTGTTTAGAAGTAGGCTGGAGCTTTTGTGCATCCTTTCAGCCAATCCTTACAACAATCCAGCGAGGAGAACTGACACATGCGGAAGCAGGCACTGAGAGGAAAGACGTGGTCAAGAGCGCATGGGCTCCAACAAGTGTTGTAACCTTTAGCATGTCAGTCTGATACGACCTCCATCACTGGCAGGAAGTCAACAGTTCTTGATTCCTGATGGCTTTAATACAACTCATCAACATTCTCAATCTTAGGAGCACCTGCACACCCACTGCTGCTCACTCGGCTTCATCCAACCACAGCCTGACAGGGCCTTTACCTTTACCCCGACACAAGTCCTGCTCTGCAGATCAGGGTATTTTCAGATCATCATTATTCCCCAAGTCACAAGGTAAGTATGGCATGCAAATATACTAACATAAGATTCAGAAGAAATTAGAAAGGGTCACAGAACCCCTAAAAGATCTTAAGTAGTTAAAAATATTGAGCATAGAATTTTAAGTATCGGCCAACTATTTTTAAAATCTAGACACATACAAAAATAAGATAAAACTTATTGTTAAAACAGTTCCTTTAAAAACAAACAAACAAACAAAACTCAAGACCATTCATTCTAATTCTCTGGCTTCTGGACCCATGGTTTCCAATACGTTCTGCATCACTGATATCTCGCTCCTTATGCTCCTGACACAGGGCACTTAGTTCCTGAGGGCCTTCCAGTCCACACCCTCAATGTCACTAAAGTGACAGAGATACGCATAGAGCCCTCCTTGTTTGGAGGAAGAGAGAAAGGAAAGGAAAAAAGCAAGTAATTCTCCTTAATTAGAGCTAACTGGAAGATATAACAGAAAAAGAATATTATAGCTTAGGACTAAAATAAAATCATACAAAAGGGAAGTTAGAATCTTCAATTTGCTACTTGAGAAACTCTTCACTCTGTAAGAATCGGACTTTTTAAAATACATCACACATGGCCGGGCGCAGTGGCTCATGCCTATAACCCCAGCACTTTGGGAGGCCAAGGGGGGGCGGATCAAAAGGTCAGGAGATCAAGACCATCCTGGCTAACATGGTGAAACCCCGTCTCTACTAAAAATACAAAAAAATTATCCGGGCGTAGTGGCGGGCGCCTGTAGTCCCAGCTACTCAAGAGGCTGAGGCAGGAGAATGGCGTGAACCCGGGAGGCGGAGCTTGCAGTGAGCCAAGATCCGGCCACTGCACTCCAGCCTGGGCGACAGAGAGAGACTCTGTCTCAAAGAAAAAGAAAATACATCACACTTGAAGAGCCATGAATGCAGACCTGGATCTGAGGCTGTAAATCATGGGCAGAGCAATGAGGACTAATCATTTCCAGCAAGTCATTTTACAGACAGAGCCCTGATATTCCAGTAATTTTGCTCAAGATAAAAAATAAAATTGGTCATATATAAAAAATAAAGTTGATTATTAATGCGTTCCTATTATTACTTGTTGGGGATTAATAGGCACAATCTCTTCAGCTGCAGAACAAAGGACGCACATGTTTTAGCACAAGTAAAAGGCTGCGATGGAGAGCCCCAGTATCACAGACTCAGAGCAGGACCAGCTGTCTGGCACACACCGCAACCTGAACATACAACATAAGTCAAGGCCATAAGCTGACCCAGAACCCCAAGGATCCCCGAGAGGGTCAACCATGATTAAAGAAACGGAAGAAGCAACTGCTGCAGGAAGAACTGAAAGGACTAGCATGGCAAGCCACGTGCAGCGATGATTCTTCAACACCCAGAGCCTACGGACTCAAGTCTCTCTGAGGTTCTCTCATGATATGCTTTTGGGAAAACGAAGTATTCAGCTATGGGTACACTTTTATAGAATGTGCTACTTCAAAAAGCCAGAAACTTTTCTTACCATCAGGACTTACTCAAAAGAGACAGAAGTAACTTTACCAAAGGTTCTTACACTGCGGTGGTTCCAGACTCAGGGGGAATTGGGGTCCTCTGAAAATCTCTCCCTGTCCCCACCTGCCCTTCACACGGCCTTAGGAGCTATTTTCTAAATGGAGTATGGTTTCATTTCTCCGCTTAGAAACCTCAGACACCTTCCCACAAGCACTAGGCCAAAGCCCACATGCCTCAGGACAGCTAAGCACCTGCGCAGTTAGGCCTGGAAACTGCCAGCTCGTTCCCCAACTCCCTGCCACCCGGTGTACGCTTCAGCTCAGACACCCATGAATCTACGACCATCTTCTGTTCATGAAACTTCTCTTTGATTCCTTCTGAAAAACTCATACTTAACCTGAAAAGCTCAACCTAGATGACAACACAATCCCTGATAAGACCTGTCAGTGTTCTGGCATTCTGTACACGTGTCTCCTTGGCATGTTTGACTTTTCCAGCCTGAGTTGTTTCATGGACCCGTATCTTTACTTTCCGTGTATACAGGCACTTGTTTTCTCAAGTTCTCTCTGCTCTGCACCTACCCTCCTTTTCTGCCTGTCAGCGGTGACATCCCTGCACATCAGGGTGCCTGGCTCCCAGCCATCCGACCCTGAGGACCACTCAGTCTTTCCCTTAGTCCACAGCGAAACCCTGGACATGAACTCTTCTCAAAGTTACTAACTCAATTTCTGCTTTCTGACCATAACCTTCTATGTATGCTACCCTTCAATCTCTCCAATTCCAACTAACCTGCATTGCTACCTCATGCAAACCTCTAGGCCATGAACCCATCTTCACTTCTCAACTAGACTTCAGCTTCAAGGACATGCTCATCCGTGTATTGCTGACTCTCGTGCATCCAATGCCACCAAACTCATGCTAATTCCCACCCAGAATGCACTTGATCTTTCAAGCATCTATAGCAGCACACAAAGAGACAATGTCTAGATCCAGTACAGACTTATGAATTCCAACCATAGGCCTTAACAAAGGCCAAAATCCATAAAAATTAATCCTGTCGACCAACTCTAATGCTGGTGAGAAGTGAGTAAAATAAGGCTGGTAAAACAGCAGGCCTTCTCCTTGGCCTTGCTGTCAGAAGCCTATTAAACACCTCTTCCTCCTCAGTTAATCCCCCTTGCATTGTACTCTGTGTAGGGGACGCCAGGTACACTACAGCACTTATCGCCCTCTGCGTCTTGCTAAGAGCTGCATGACAAGAGGGGAGACGGGCTGTGCAAGGATTGTGCTCACAGCAATCCAAAGTTCTTTATGCATAAGCTCTGTTCTCAGCTACATTTAAAATCCCCCACATAACTTGAAGGTCTGTTTTAGTATGTCAGACTGCACACATATCTGGCTTCCTATTAGATGAGGATTTTAATCCTTCAAATTATCTAGCATAGTGTCTACAACATAAATTCCTAGTAAAGAAATGACGTACCAAGGGTGGGTCAAGATAGCTGTGCGTTGCTGACCACGTCTGGGGAGTGATCAGGCTGTACAGGGGGAACTGCTGCTGGGGGCTGTACATGGGAGGGAAGTAGAACGACGTCGCGTAGCGCTGCTGGGCATACAGGCTCACGTCCAGGGGTCTAAATCCATTCTTTGGCAAAAATGTGTTTATAGCTATTGCCTTTGCTTTTATCCGTGCCTGTTTGAAAATATGTAAGTTTCTATTAGAATACTTAAGAACATCAATTTGCAAATAAACAAAGTATAACCAATGGTCTTGCTTACCTTAATTGGTTTTCCTTGAAAAGTTTTGACTTCTTCTCGAAGGTATTTGTAAGCCTAAGGGCAAAATTAAGTACAAAATTCCATTCGATTAACCTTATGAATAAGAGGCACCAATAGTTCACTCAATAGCTCAAATAGGGAAATATATAATTAAATTATGGTGAACAGAACCTAGAATAATGATTCTTGACACTCCCTGGGTCACAGATCCCTTAAAATAACCTCATAAGAGCTATGGAACGTGTACCCCAAATTCTCACAAACAAGATTTGTACACAATTTTGTAAGTATTAACAGATGCCATAGAAGTCTCCCAAAGACCACTGGCTAAGAACCTTGACCTGGTGGAAAATGATGAATACTGAGTTCCTAGTATTCATCCCAATTTCAGATTAGGAGAATGCAGTTCAGGAAATACCAGACAGGAAGGAAAAGGATTAGGATCATAACATCCAAAAGTCATTCTTGATATATCTCCTTGTTCTTCTCCATGTTAATTCTACATTAAACCCCTATAAAACTGTGAAGGCCCTGCACCTGATTCAATATCATCCGACCACATTCGCCACACGGGCTGGCAGAGCTCACACTCCACTCCACAAAAATGGTTACTCTATCTTCCGTTCCCCTTTTCCCCCTCCATCCAATTAAAACCCATCTTTCAGGTTTCTGTGTTTTCTTTTCTGAACCCCACATACTGTTTATACCATTTAACACTTTATAATATGTGCGTTAGTTTCCTCACAAATAAGATGCTTCCCTTAAAAGCAGGAAAACTACTAACTCCTCACGCCTCCTTACAGAGCTTACTTCTCAATACCATTAAAAGCATCTTCCAAAATACAATGAAGTCTGCTGGGAGATGAAGATTAGGTTCAAATTTCCCCCCAAACACTTTGCAAATAGTAAAACTTCTCTGCCCAGATAGAAGAACAAAACTGATTTTCCTAGGTTGCTTAGCTTGTTGTCCTTAGAAAGTAAAATCACATGCTTTTTATATTGCTATAAAAATTGTCCATACAAATACACTCAAATATTTAAGTTTCTACAACTTGATTTCCTCTGCAGATTATATTCAAACTTACCATCACAAGTAATCTCAATGCCCAAGTTTAGTCCCAACATGCACTAATAGTAAAAACTGGTAAACTATGCAATTCATAGGGTGATGGTGGAAAGAACTTACCTGTTGTGCATCAGCTTCTGTTTCAAATGTAATAAACCAATTATCATTATATGCAAATTCACAGTTTATAAATTTTGGTAAATTATCTCCTTTAAATAGTGCTTCTACTTCCTACAGGAAATAGAGATGTTAGAAATTAATTCTCAACAATGTCAGTTTTTGTCCTCACCAAAAATTTTTTTAACAAATGCATTCTCTTAAGGAACTATCCTTAAACAAACGTACCATGATGCCTAGTAAATCTCTCTTCCAAAAAGGATGAGGGTTCAGCAGGGCTTCCAGAATCAGAATCACAATGCCATAGAGAAAAGCAGTCACACAACTTACAGCTTCCCCTACTCTCAAGATACCATTAAGCTAGATTAATGTGAAAACTATCATATCATGTTCTGGGCTGATAACTGCACAACTTTTTTTTTTTTTTTTTTTTTAAAGGCAATTTAAGAAAAAAAATTTGCTTGGACTTTTGCTTCTGGCCATGATGGACTAGATTTACTCTCCCAGATGACTCAATTAAAAAACCAAAGACAAAATACATGAAGAACAGTTTCAGGCCCTGAACCCCAGCGTGAACACGAGTGTGATCCCTGAGAGGGACATGAACAGGGGAGTTGGCCTTCAGTGCCTGGGCCGCAGAGCCGGCAGGGTAAGCCTGCAGATGGCCTTCCCCACATCTTCAGCCTGGGAAACAACCGCCTGAGGGATGAGAGGGAACAAGCCCAGGGAAGGCTCACCAAGAGAGGAATGGTTTGTTTTCCCACCGGCCACAGTGGAAAACTCTCCTAAACACACAGGATAGCAGGGACAGTGCTCAGAAGGGCACTGCTTCCGCAGTGGGGAAAATGAGCCCTAGAGAAAAGGCTGCTCTGATTCCACCTAGAAAGTTGGTTCCAGGTAACTTCACTGCATTTCAAAACAAAGCTCAAGAATATTTATTAGAATACAAAAATATTCAGTAAAGTAAAATTTAAAACTCCGAGCATCTCCTCAAAAATCACAAAGCATGCAAAGAAATAGAAAATATGACCTATAATGCAAAAGATTAGACCTAGAAATGACAGATACGATAGACTTAATACACATAACACATTTACTGCATATATATTCCATATCCCATAAAAGGTAAAGACTGAGCATATTAAATATATATGGAAGATTGTTTTTATTTTTTATTTTTTTTTATTTATTTATTTTTGAGACGGAGTCTCGCTCTTTCGCCCAGGCCAGAGTTCAGTGGCGCTATCTCGGCTCACTGCAAGCTCTGCCTCCCGGGTTCACGCCATTCTCCTGCCTCAGCCTCCCAAGTAGCTGGGACTACAGGCACCCGCCACCGCGCCCGGCTAATTTTTTGTATTTTTAGTAGAGATGGGGTTTCACTGTGTTAGCCAGGATGGTCTCGATCTCCTGACCTCGTGATCCGCCCGCCTCAGCCTCCCAAAGTGCTGGGATTACAGGCATGAGCCACTGCGCCCGGCCAGATTTTTTTTAAAAGACCAAAATCAAACTTTACTGGAGATGAAAAATACAATGTCTGAAATTAAAACTACACTAAATAAGATTAACAGCTGACTAGACACTTTCTGAAGAAAAGGACAAAAGGCAGAGGAAAACATTTAACAAAATAATGGCTCGATAAATTTCAGGTACGAGAAGTTTGAAAACTACACCAAAGCATATTGCAATCAACTTGCTTAAAACCAGTAGTAAAATCTTCACAGCAGCCAGAGAAAGACTTATTACATACAGAAGGATGGTGATAAAAACCACAGAAAACGTATACCAGAAGAGAGAGTATCTTTAAAACACAGAAAGGGAGGAAAAAACCCCCTCAATCCAGAAATCTATATGCAGCAAAAATACCTTTCATAAATAAAGGTGAAATAAGATTTTCCCAAACATACTAAAGCTGAAAAAAATTCATCATCGGCAGACCTGTACAAGACATGCTAAAGGAATGTCCAGGCAGAAGGAAAGTCCAGATTGACATAAAGGAATGAGAAGGACTGTAAATGGCAAATACTGAATAAATATAAAACATGTTTTTCTTATTTTTAATCTCTTTTTAAAAGTGACTTGTTTAAAGCAAACGTAACAACGATGTATTGTGAGGCTTATGACTGTGTAGAATTAGAATGTGTGACAACAGCACAGGCTAGAAGTGGAGAATGGGAGAGCATGGCTGTAAATGGGAGAGCATGGCTGTAAGGTAAAGAGGCATGGTGCTCTGTGAATTACACGGACTCTAGTAAAGTTAGAGGGTCAGCTAAAAACCCTAAAGAAAGGGGGTCCAATATTTTGGCTTCCCTGGGACACAATGGAAGTAGAAGAATTGTCTTGGGCCACACATAAAATACACTAACACTAACGATAGCTGATGAGCTTTAAAAAAAAAAAAAAAAAAAAAAAAAAAAAAAAAAACCTCAAAATGTTTGAAGAAAGTTTACGCATTTGTGTTGAGCTGCATACAAAGCCGTCCTGGGCGGCATGCCGCCCACGGGCTGAAGAAGCATGCCCTAAAGCACCACTAAAAAACAGAAACACAGAGTTATACCTAATATGCCAAAAAAGGAGATAAAAATACACATTTAATCCCAAACAAAAGGAGGGGAAAGGGAAAGAAAATAAAGAAGAGACAAAACAGAAAACAAACAGCAAGATGATAAATTTAAATTTAATCACATCATTACATCATTAACCTCTTAAATGTAGATGGGCTACACTCCCAATTAAAAGACAGAAATTGGGCCCGGTGCGGTGGCTCACGCCTGTAATCCCAGCACTTTGGGAGGCCGAGGAGGACGGATCACGAGGTCAAAAGATCAAGACCATCCTGGCCAACATTGTGAAACTCTGTCTCTACTAAAAGTACAAAATTAGCTTGGCATGGTGGCGCATGCCTGTAGTCCTAGCTACTCGGGAGGCTGAGGAAGGAGAACCACTTGAACCCGGGAGGCAGAGGTTGCAGTGAGCTGAGATCACACCACTGCACTCCAGCCTGGCAACAGAGCAAGATGCCACCTCAAAAAAAAAAAAAAAAAAGACAGAAATTTTCAGATTGGATAAGAAAAGCAAGACCCAATTACACACTGCTCACAAGAAATCCACTTTAAATATGAAAACACAAATGGGTTGGTTAAAAGAGGATAGAAAAGACATACCATACTAATGTCAATCAAGGAACGTGAGAGTGGCTATATTCATTCCAAATTCCAGAGGAAAAACAGCAACAAGGAAAAACAGGGCCATTCCATAAAAAATTACTAGCCAGGTACACCTCAAAAAGTACAAAAGGAATTTGACAACCAAATGAACTACAAAAACGGTTTCCAGGGATTCTAATGCCCTATGTTGTTGTCCCATCACTGGTAAATGCTTACTGGTTAAAAGATAAAACACATCAACGCAAAGTCATACTTGACTAACGGTAAATTAGGATTATGACTTTTAAAGTCAAACAATAATACTTTAAGGCCACTAGACTATCAGTCTACTAGTGGCAAGAATGGTTGACTCCTCTGCCTCTGGGAAAATCCTATTTTTAAGAAAATCAGAATCAGTATTTAAAATGTACTAATCACTGACAAGTACCTAGTGACATTTAAAGAATAATTTTCTGGAAACTCCTAGCCTACATTTCTAAGACCCAGTAGAAGGGCTCTATAATAATTATACAGAGTCCTTGGGAACTTATGTTCTTACGTGGATTGTTTTAGGCTACTTATTTTCCTTCCTTTTTTTCCCCAACTTTTAATTTATCAAAGAGTTTCCTTTAAACCTTCTCTCTTAAGACTTTCATTGCTCAAGTTTTACAAAAGACATAAGGTCAGCAGTTTTGAATAATATAAATACTCCAAAATCAATGTCTACTGCTAAATGCAGAAAATTCTCCTTGGTTAAAGTTTTACAAACATTTCAAGTCTTAAAAATTAGGATCTATGTTTTAAATATTACTTTGAGTTAATACAGATGTCCAAATTAATCATAAGAAATATGCTGGTCCTCGGCCGGGCGCGGTGGCTCACACCTGTAATCCCAGCACTTTGGGAGGCCGTAATCCCAGCTACTCGGGAGGCTGAGGCAGGAGAAGCACTCGAACCTGGGAGGTGGAGGTTGCAGTGAGCCGAGATCGTGCCACTGCATGCCAGCCTGGGTGACAGAGCAAGACTCCGTCTCAAAAAAAAAAAAAAAGCAAGCAAGAAATATGCTGGTCCTTCATATTCAGACCCTTAATAAAAATAGGAGGAAAAAACTATAATCCTAAGTTGTTTTTCTCCACATACTACAATATAGAACTAGTAAAGACAGGCTAAGTGGAACAGAAGGTAAAACTTGCTAGAATAAGACCATACTTCTATGAGAGTAATAGAATTTCTTACGCTAGGCAGAGAGCTTTGTTGGAATCCTGCCCTTTCTCACATGCTAGGGTTGTTTTCCTTAAGAAACTCTCACACACACTAACCCACTCGGACTGAAAAGCCTGAACCGCAACGTCCATCTCCTCTGCAGAGAAGGTGTGTGGAAAGAGGTAGCATGAACGACGAGGCTGAAATCATGTGAGAGATGAGACCAACAACAAACCCAGGCTTCCTGTGTTCTGCGAGTCCCCAAAGCAGGCAGATTCCGTTTTCTGAGGTAGGATAAACTAAGTTGCCAGCACCTTCTACAAAGACTTTACCTCATGATCTCAAGGTGTGACCATCAGTGTGTTTACTACACAAAGCAACTCAGTTTAGGCATCTGGACAAACAGTAGATTTTATAGCAACACATAACAGTAAATGGCTTTTCATTACTTTTAAGCTATCAGATACTGTGGTTCCCTAAAATTACTGCCCAAGTCGGGTGGATTATGAGGTCAGGAGTTCCAGACCAGCCTGGCCAAGATGGTGAAACCCCGTCTCTACTAAACATAGAAAAATTAGCTGGGCGCAGCGACAGGCGCCTGTAATCCCAGCTACTCGGGAGGCTGAGGCAGGAGAATTGCTTGAGCCTGGGAGATGGAGTTTGCAGTGAGCCGAGGTTGCGCCACTGCACTCCAGCCTGGGCAACAGAGCAAGACTCCATCTCAAAAAAAAAAAAAAAATTACTCCCCAAGTTACCAGTTCTCTAAGAGTGGCCGTGCTGGCTTGGACCAGGCTGCACTGGTGGCTCAGGGAGTTATTCACGATGCCCCTTTGTCATAGAAATACTTGTTTTGAAAAGTTTTTTTTATCACAAAAGTGCTCTTTTTCATTATTTATGGGTTTACTAATCTTATTTTTAAATAAATATTTAAATGTGTTATTTTTAATTTCTAAATATAGAAATGCATAAACCTTCACTATCTTATTATAAGGAGTCCTGAGATCAAAAGGTTTGGTTATCATTCCCTCCTACTCTGTAACTCACTGTGTGTAAATCCTGGGAAAACAGTGTTAATGTAAGTACTCAGTCTAAAAAACACACAGCCCAAAAAAACACAAAAGTAAAATAAAATCAAAACCAACAAAGACCTTTGGGAAAATGTCCAAGTAACCTTCAGAGGAGAAATTACTTACTTCCACGGGGGTAGATTCAGATATTTCACGCAATATTACTATGCAGCGATTTTGATTTGGCCTTACTTTTTCTCCCTTTTCATCCACTTGGACTAAAGGTAAAGCTACAAAGAGAAGAAAAATCAATGGTGAAACAAAAATATTAAAATATGATATGCCAGTGGAATGTGTTACATTATATTACTATATTACTAAATAAGCTAAAGAAACCTGCAAATGGGCAAAGTAAACCAATCTCACGTTAGATTTTTCAAAGCTCAGGAATATGGACATTTAAAATCCTGCAGGAGCCATAATGTATGTAACACTATGAAACAAAGGTTCTAAACAGCTCAAGCACTAAGAGCAGATGAAAATACAGGGTTAACGGCTTTCTCCTTTCCACCAGTACCTAAAGTGAGATAATCTTGTTTCATAACTTGTTTCTGTGTGCCCTTCCCTGGCTCCCTGATGATCATCCCTCACCTAACGGTCGTGCACTGTTTACATTAGGATGCTCATGTGACTGCAGTAATAGGCCTAATTTAGATTTCGCCAGTTTTTACATAAATTGGGTTTTGGCATCACATCTAAGAAATTACGCAATGCGCAGATTCGAGTCACAGCAAGTAATGATCACAATTAGGGCTCAGAGGTGCCCACTGTCACAAAGACACAAATCACCAGCATCAGGATGAAAGTGGCAACATCATTACAGGTTCTATCAACAGGAAAAAGATAACAACGGAATATTATGAAAAAGTTCACACTAATACATTACATGAAACAGAAACATTCCTTAAAAGACATAAACCACCAAAGCTCACCCTACAAGAAAGGTAACTGGTGCATGACTGTAACTTAGTTTTTATATCTTAATCTGACAAAAGATCATCAAAGACTCATATGCTGAAAACTGCAAAACACTGCCAAAAGAACATTTTAAAGACCTACATAAAGACATATTCTGTGCTTGTGGGTTGTAAAACTTAACACTGGTAGAATGCGTGAATTCTTCTCGAGTGAATTTATACAATCAATGCAATCCCAATAAAAACACCAACAGGACTTTTTGAAAAATTGTAATGATGATTCTAAAATTCATATAAAAATGCAAAACATTTACAAGGGCCACAGCAAAGCTGGAGGTTCTGAACCTACTTTAAGACTCACTATAACGTTACAGTGATTAAGACACTGTAGTGTTAGCATCCAATCAGACAAGTAATCAAGGGAATAAAACACACGTTCCAGAGACCAACACCCACGTGCACGGGCAGTCAATACGACAAGGCCCCAGACACGTGGGGTGCTGCAACAGATGCACACAGGATCCATACCCCACACCATGTACAAACATCAGCACAAAATAGATGACAGACTCGAATGTTCAAATGTAAAACATAAAACTAATAAAAGGAAAACTATCATAACCTTGGACCAAGCAAAGATTTCTTAGGTACAACACCAAAAGCAAGATCTGTAACACGAAAAAAATTTACAAATTGGACTATATAAAAAATGTCTACTTCTGCTTCTCAAAAGACACTGGTAGAACAAAAAAAAAAACAGCTGTACACTTAGAGAGCATATTTGTAAATCACGTGTAATACATATTTAAGTGTACACACATACATCATTGACAATGTGACCGTGGAGCAAAGGAGCATCTTTTCAACAAGTGCTGCTAAACCACTCGACATCCACATGCAGAAAATTAATCTAGGTGCAGACCTGGCACCACCATTCATAAAAATTAACCCCAAATGGATCATGGACCTAAGTGTAAAATGCAAAACCTTAAGTCCTAGAAAACATAGGAGAAAATCTAGAAGGCCTTGGGTCTGACAATAACTTCTTAGATACCACACTAAAGGCATGATCCATGAAAAAATTTCATTAAGATTTAAAACTTCTGCTTCGTGAAAGGCAACGTCAACAGGATGAGAAGCCATTGACTGATGGAAAATAGTTGCAAAAGACACATCTGATAAAGGACTGTTAACATCAAAATGCACAAAAAACTTTAAAAATCAACAATAAGAAAATGAACAAGATTAAAAAATGGGCAGAAGACCTGGACAGACACTTCACAAAAGATTTACAGAGGGCGAATCTACATATGGAAAAACGCTTCACATCATATGTCATAGGGAATGCAAATTAAGACATCAATGAGATGTCACTGCATACCTGTCAGCACAGCAAAAATCACAAACAATGACACCACCAAATGCTGCCGAGGATGTGGAGCAAGAGGAACTCCCATTCACTGCCGATGGGAATGCAAAGTGGTACATCCACTTTGGGAGACACTTTGGTGGCTTCTTACAAAACAAATAATATTCTTAGCATATGATCTGGCAATTGTGCTCCTTGGTATTTATCCAAAGGAGCTAAAAAATTATGTCCACACAAAATCTGCATACAGATGTTTATAGCAACTTTACTCATAACTGCCAAAACTTGGAAGTAATCAAGATGCACTTCAGTGGGTAGATGGATAAGCAAACTGTGGGACATCCAGACAATGAACTATTATTCCACACTAAAAAGAAATGATCTATCAAGCCACGAAAAGACATGGAGGAACCTTCAACATATATTGCTAAGTGAAAGAAGCCAATCTGAAGAGGCTACATCCTATAGGATCCAACTCTAGGACATTCTGCAAAAGGCAAAACTACAGAGGCAGTAAAAAGATCAGTGGCTTCCAGTGACTGGGGGAGGCAGGGATGCACGGGTGGAACTCAGAGGACGTTTAGGTCAGTAAAATTACCCTGTATGATACTGTAATGGTAGATAATGTCCCTATATGGTTGTCTGAACCCATAGAATATACAATACCAAGTGAACCCTTATGTAAACTGTGGACTCCAGGTGACAATGATGTGTCAGTGTTGGTTTCATCAATTATAACAAATGTTCCTCTGCTGCGGAATGTTCATATGGGAAGAGGCCATGCATGTGTACAGGGGATATAATGGGAGATCTCTGTACTTTGCTTACAATTTTGCTGTGAATCTAAAACTGTTATAAAAAATAAAGTCTACTTCTAAAGAAAGGACTCAATTGTTAATAAAACTAATAAAGTATGTGTGGGACATCTAAATAGACACTACTGCAAAGAAGAAAAAGGAAGGCAAATAAGCTCATTTAAAAAATGCTCAACTTCATTAATCATTAGAGAAACAGATGTTAAAGCCTCAACAAGATATCACTATATAGTTATTAGAAAACATAAAATTAACATGATTGCATACGAAGTGTCAGAAGGATATGGGGCAACTGGAGCTCTCATCCCTGCTGGTGGTGGCCAACCGTAAAATGGTCCAACCACTTTGGAAAACAGGCAGGTGGTTTCACAGTTGCTCACACACCTAACCACACAATCCAGACATTCCACTTGTGGCTATTTACCCAAGAGAGAGGGAAGCACATGGTCACACGGAGACTTTTACACAAGTGTCCACAGCAATTTGTAGTGGTCAAAACCCGGCAATAACCTAAATGTCTATAACTGCTAGGTGCATAAACCAACTGGGAATACCCATTTGAGAGAATACTTCCCAGCAAAAAGAAGCAATCACCTACTAATCCAGTAAACAACAATAGTTATGCCAGACCAAAAGAAAGTGATATTGCATAATCGACTCCATTTACATCAAATTTGTAAACACTGCAAGCTAATCCGTAGTGACAGGAAGCAAATCAGTGGTTGCCTGGGGAGGGGGTAGAGGACGCTTGGCGGGGGTGGGCTGTGATGGCTGTTTGGTATCGTGATTGTGGTAGTTTCATGGGTGTATAAATATGTTAAAACTTACGAAATGTACACTTAGAATGCATAATTTATGGTATGTAAATTCTACCTCCATACAGGCAGGGGTGACACCCTCTGCACTTCATGCCTCGCCCAACTCACCTGCCCCCATGACGTGACACTGAATGATGAGCTTCAATCCCGTTCATGCTTTCACACCATCTCCGTGCTCCTCTGAACCCACAAAAATTCCTGTGCTTCAGCTTTACACACCCCCAAGCTTTATATACATGGTATCACCTTGCACAAATTTGGAAATACGCTTTTATAAACATTATAATTTTAAAATTTATTCTTGTTGGAATATGTAGGCCTAGCTCACTGTAACAGCTCTGGTACTCACTGTGTGTATATAACACAACGTATTTATTCTGGTGACAAATATTTTAGCATGTCTTTTTAATTAGCAGTTCAGTTACATGAAGGGTGAAAACAGCCCTTGACTCAGACATACTGGGACACGCACATTGTGTTTACTGTGACATTAAAAATAATCTGGAAATGTAACTTATGCAACTTAACACAAGAGCTGCACTATTCAAAGGAAAATCATTCAGACAATCTTGAGTTTAATTTGTAAAAAGATAAAATTAAATATTCATCAAATATCTGCTGTGTGTCTGAGTCTCTGCTAGGTAATTTGGGCACAAGATCTAAACATAAGATGAGGCCAGGCATGGTGGCTCACACCTGTAATCTCAGGACTTTGGGAGACTGAAGTGGGCAGATCACTTCAGGTCAGAAGTTTGAGACCAGCCCTGCCAATGTGGTAAAACCTCGTCTCTACTAAAAGTACAAAAAATTAGCTGGGCGTGGTGGTGCACGCTTGTAATGCCCAGCTACTTGGGAGGCTGAGGTAGGAGAATTGCTTCAACACAGGAGGCAGAGTTGCGATGAGCTGAGATGACACCACTGCACTCCAGCCTTGGCGACAGAGTGAGATTCCATCTCAAAAATAAATAAATTCATTCGTCCATTCAACTTAATTTAAAAAAAAAGTAAGATGAGAACTTTGCTCCTGCGGACCTATTTATGACATTTTCATCCTCTTAAGAGCTACAATGAATGCAATAACTTGCTAACTATATTCTTGTCACATAGGTTCTTACAAAGGCATGTACATTTCTGTCCAAAAATCGAGTGAAAAAAGACAAAATGAGAAACTAAAGAGCTCAGTGCAAATGGATAAAAGTTAAGTCATAAAAAAGGCGGGAGGAGATGGGACGAAATAGGTGACAAGCCTGCCCTGGATCGCCTATGGGCAGGTGGGCTCTGTTAAGCAAGCACACAGAGCAATTTAATATCCTCATGGTTGGTGGAAACGACCCCTTGCCAGTAACAATCAACTGAGAAATCATCCCAGTGGGGCAGCAGCGTTTGCAAGGTCTGTCCGAAAAGGAATAACTAAACCTGAAACTCCTAATCATAACCAAAAAGACTTCAGAGTACAAACAGGGACAAGAATGCTGCTGGCCTTTCAAAGATGGGGCCCAATTCAGCTGGCACAGACAACAGCTTCTGTTCTGCATGATGACACCAGGGAGCACGGCGCCATCCTGGGAGACAGCAGTGCCGCTCTCAGAACTCACAGTCAATGGTAATTATGTTTGTCAGTTTTTTCACTGTCTCCAATAATTTAATAACCCATGCTATTTGTCTAAAAACAGAAAAACATAAAACTTTTATTTTATATTTTATTTGTGAAAAGAAAATCCAACTAAGTTCTCATGTAAGATGCTCACTTTTTTATACTACTGTAAAGTCAAATTCATACAAGAAAAAAAAAAAACCTGCACAGACTGTCGTCAGTACAGATAAGCCAGGGACAACGTGAAAACCCTTCTATGTGAGTATAGGCAGTGGACTTAATTGAGACTTGAAGTCAGGCTTAGCAATGTCCAATCACTCAAAACTATGTAGGGGCACCATCCACACTTAATGCTTAAACACTGTTTGATGTTGCCAAACTTCAAAGAAACAACTTCACTCACAACATAATTTTTTTTTTTTTTTATGAGATGGAGTCTATCTCTGTCGCCAGGCTGGAGTGCAATGGCACAATCTCAGCTAACTGCAACCTCCGCCTCCTGGGTTCAAGTGATTTCCCTGCCTCAGCCTCTCAAGTACCTGGGATTACAAGCACACACCACCACGCCCAGCTAATTTTTTGTATTTTAGTGGAGACAGGGTTTCACCATGTTGGCCAAGACAGTCTCAATCTCCTGACCTCATGATCCGCCCAACTCGACCTCCAAAAGTGCTGGGATTACACGCGTAAGCCACCACACCTGGCCCACAACATAATTTTAAGAAAAATTGCAATAATTATTTCATCCGAACATAAACAGGAAGTTGCAATTTGAAAGAAAAACCTCTAGTGGTAAAACTGTAACTAAAGTGTATTTTACTTTAACTATAAATGTTATTTTTATTTTGTTTTTCATGAATGAAACAGCTATCTTTAAAATCCCCATTAACAAGATTCTTTTCTACTTCATATGTCCCAAAACTTGTTTGAGGTTTCATAACGGGTTCAACTGGCATTCCCAGGGACTATCAGGCGCTACTCCAGAATTATTGGACCTGGGCAGAAAGGAACGGAAGGCCAGAAAAGAATCTGATTCGCCATCAAGGACCTTAACGTTTGATGGCTATAGATTTAAAGGTTCATGCTGATAAGACAAATACTCTAAGGACAAGTATTATTAATTTAAATTGTCATTTACTTACATCTTAGCACTTCCACAATCAAGTCCACATCAGTGCTGAGCTTCTTGATGTGGTCGAGGTTAGCCACCGTTGTGATTGGCACATACTGGTCACTATCCATCTGTGATATAAGATACATGTCACTAGCAAGGTTCTCCCTGTTGAAAGAAAACAATCTCTTTTAATCAGTATTTCTTTAAAAGGAAGTTTCACCTACTGTAATTCCAGTTTCACAAGAGGCGTGAGTGTGGCATGGTATTGCTTTGGAGTTAAATCTCAGCCCAGGACCCATCTGTTATTTGCTGTCTCTCCAGCCTCAGGTACATTTTTGCAAAATCTCGGCCTTGGAGAGGCAGGGAGTGCAAAAGTAAAAGTATACTGTACTTTCTACAATCAAAATTTATGAGAAGATGGTTATTTTTAAATAAGATGTAATTATTTATAGCTGTCATTTTTGTCCTAAGAAGTAGCTTAAGAGTTTATTAAAAATGCATACAATTTTGTTAGGCCGGGCACGGTGGCTCACGCCTGGAATCCCAGCACTTTGGGGGGCCAAGGTAGGCAGATCATCTGGGTTCAGGAGTTTAAGACCAGCCTGACCAACATGGTGAAACCCCATCTCTACTAAAAATACAAAAATTAGCCAGGCATGGTGGCGGGCACCTGTAATCCCAGCTACTCGGGAGGCTCAGGCAGGAGAATCGCTTGAACCCGAGAGGTGGAGGTTACAGTGAGCCAAGATCACACCACTGCACTCTAGCCTGGGCGACAAGAGTGAAACTCTGACTCAAAAAAAAAGAAAGAAAAACAATTTAAAGTAAAGAAATCCAGCTCAATGAACAAGAAAGGAAAACATAAAAAGGCCAGGATAAGGTCATACCCAAAATTCCTCCTGTAGACTCTGGAACACTCACCAGAGGGCCTATATCCAGCCCTGGCTTCCTAGCAGCCAGAATTAAAAAGAAGGAAACAGTAACTTTACCCACAAAATCCAAAGGTGAGCCACAAATCATCAGCAGTTTGGGCCATGATGAGCTATTTTCTGGTGTTTTGGCCAAAGATCAATGTTTCCTGTGAATTCTCAAGGCATCATGTAATGTAGTGAACAAGGCCCTAAGAAACATTTCAAAACTGAGCACAGTGCTGGGTTCCTGGGGCCTCTGCTCAGTGTCCCTCGGTGAAGGCCCATGACTGCCGATCAAACGGAGGCCATGCAGGAGGAGGCCCTGCTCCACCCTCATCTCGGCCATCTTCCAGGTGTAGCTGATTCTGGCCCCATGGGGCTACACATGGATGTGAGTGGCAGAGAGCTCACACTTGTGCTCCACTAGGGCGTTCCACTGGTGCCCCTGCACCTTTTGCGTCTACCATGTCATGGTGCGGTATTCTCAGACTCCAATCGTGGAACAGCATGGGCATGGGGAGGAGGCCAGCAGAGCCCCTCACACCTCCACCTCATACACCCCACAGGCTTCAAGGAGCCCCTAGCAGACACCTGTGTGGAATCCTCAGGGCTCCAGAGAAAACACCTGGAAAATCATCATCGACAGAAAACCTTATACACGGCCCATCGGTTGTTGTCATACTCAGAGAAATTACATCAAACCCAATCCCATCCTCCTTTATGTCCAGTTCTGCCATTGGAACTTTAAAGGTTTTACTAAGAAAAGGGTATTATTCAGGGGAAAGAAAAATGATTAAAAATGAGTGTTATATAAATAAAACAACTTGCTATCTCAGTGTCTGGTGTGCTTTCAGAAACAACGTGGCACACTTGTTCTCCAACTTCAGTGTGAGGAAGTCTGACTCGGCAGCACAGGGCGGGCGGGGCACTTTAGACGCATTCCAGACAGTGACCACCGAGACCACTGGGGACCACAGACATGAAGGTTACGTTCCATGCTCAAATGTCAAAAGACTGTCATTACTCAATATTCCACGTCTTCATATACATATATATGGATATGAGTAGATACTCCTTCATAAAATATCACATTTGTATATACTTTAACTATTTGCACAATACTAGAAATATCAGGTACTAGAAAAACCACCACCAGCCTTACCTAGATAAGCAGAATTCCAATGTTTTTTTAAGTACTTCTCGGGGGTCTTCCTGGCTGTCTGGTTGAGACTCATTTCCTCCTACATAAAAGTAATAATCAACTTAGGAAAACCGGCTTAAAATTTAGGAAGCAGATAATTCAGTACAGCAGTTCTAATGCTTTCAACTTACGTTCTGACACAACTACGTAAGTGTATCCTAAGTAAGAAAAATGCTACTTTACCTATCAAAAAAGTAAATCATGCAAAAAAACCTATCCCTTTATCCCCCAAAACAAAAACAGCACAGTTTAGAAAAATAATCTAAGTCTCATTAGCAGAGTTCAGCAGGGGCTTTTTCTACCAGAAATGACAAGTGTAAGCTTAGTTAATGCCTTGTCTCACTGCAAAAAGAATTTTCAAGTAACCTACACAAACACAAACCCTAAACAATAATAAAATACAGAGGAAAAAATTAAAACAACAACAACAAAGATAACCAGCAAAAAACCAAGGCTGGAGATCAAACAGGCTCTAGGACTAGACAGTTTCTACAACAGAGGCTTCAATTTGCCTTCCAACTTCCAGAGTCGAAGGAACAAGTGAGAATTGTCATGTTACAGAATTCCTGTAAGAGAATGATAAATAAACCAGATCTTCAAGAGGAAACAAAAGCTGGTTCTAAATCCTGGAAGAAATTTCTAAGAAGATGCCAGAGGGCATGGTGTGTGTGGTCACAGGCAGCACAGGGCTGTGAATTTGGAGCTCTAGAAGACACTGCATAAACTGCTGGACTCCGGACACTGCATAAAGAGGTATTTTAATAATGTTGCGATGACAGGCACTGAAATGCTAAGAACTAAGTTTTTCCTGCCTTCCTATATAAATTAGCATGGTACAATCATATAAGAGCCATGCTAACACAAGAGACACTTGTATCTTAAAAGTCAAAGTTAAAGACCATGAAAAGGCAAAGACAAAGTGGGGCGTTCAGGACAAATGAGAGGGATAGAGAGTTTGTATGGTGTTATACAATGAGCTTAGTAAAAATCCACCCCCATCAGCAAAAAGAAACCAAAACTGCTAAAGTAACCATAACACAAAACCAAATCATGGGACTCAATGAGACTGAAAATGGAAAATTGAAAACACAACCTGATGCCACTGTCCATCTAGACTAAGGTGTCTCCGGGTCACTCATCTAAATTCACACTCCACTCCCCATGTTTAATAGGTATTTACTAAATATTTCCAAGTGCCAGGCACTACTGCAGGCTCTGTGAATTCAGCCTGAATAACGCAAAGCCTGTGCTCTCGTGAAGCCAACACTCTGGTGGGAGAGGCAGATAACAGACAGTTAACCAGTAACTATACACATCATGTCAGAGAGAAACGGACACTGAGGAAACAACCCAGGATGAGGGGCAGCAAGGCCTGGTGCCATCCAGACAGGAAGTGCCATATGATCTGATAGAGGAGGGGTGGGGCACACAGGAAGGTGGGAAGTGTGTTCTAAATGGGGAGCCTCAAGCACAGGGGTCCCAAGGTGGGGCCTCTCAAGGGGTAGAGTCCAGCAGTAGGAGGCCAGCACAGCTGAGAAGAGGGGTGACAGACACAGTAAGAAATGAGGTCACAGAGGCCGGTGTGTGTGAGTGAGATCAAGGAGGACGTTAAAGTAACCTAAACGTAATAGAAAATCAATTCAAGGCTGACATTTTGAAAATATCTCTCTGGTTCCATGGTGTAGACAGACTGTGCAGGCACCAGCCGGAAGATAATGCAATCACTGAGGACAGGGCACTAGGGAGGACTCTCCAAGCGATAGGTGGTGCCGAAGCCACAAGGGAAGGAAGAAAAGCAGCCCAGGACTGAACCCGGGACACTCCCACCTTCAGCAGGAGGCAAGCGCATGAGGGCCAAGGGACACAGGCTCACAGCCAGCAAGGTGGGAAGACCACTAGGATACTGTGAAGTTAGGAGCCAAGAGAATCATCCACTATAACATGACACAGTAGAGCCAGGTAAGTTAAGAAGTTGAAACTAACTACTAGATCTGGCTGCACCAGGGTCATTAAAGAGCTCGACAAATGCTGCTTAGGACAACTGTCTACCTGGACTGGACTCAAGAGGGAATGGAAGCAAGGAGACCTGGACTGCACTCAAGAGGGAATGGAAGCAAGGAGATGGGACAGCAAGCAGACAGCTGAAGTGTTCTACAGTGGAAGATGGGCTGCCCGGGGTGGCTTCACCTAAGATGAGAGATAATACCACCTTAGAAAGATGGGGAGTGACCCAACCATGCAAGAAACACCCGGCACTGCAGACAGAGGACACTGAGGAGCAAAGACAATGACAAGTGAGACGGGCTCTCAGGGAGACTGGAGGTTGGGCACATGGTGTTGGTAAGACACAGGCCATCTGCCTCCAGGTAGATGGAGTCACAGGGGCTAGGTTAACTTTCCCTTTAAAACCACCAAGAAACCAAATAAGACAGATGAAATGACAGTTTTCCAGATGTGGGACATAGAGCAACAAAGGACATAGATTCCTATGTGACATGAAACTTTTTTCTTTTTTTTTTTTGAGACGGAGCCTTGCTCTGTCACCCAGACTGGAGTGCAGTAGCGCGATCTTGCAACCTTGGCTCACTGCAACCTCCACCTCCCGGGTTCAAGTGATTCTCCTACCTCAGCCTCCTGAGTAGCGGGGATTACAGGCGCACACCACCAGGCCCAGCTAATTTTTTTTGGTATTTTTAGTAGAGACAGGGTTTCACCATGTTGGTCAGGCTGGTCTCGAACTCCTGCCCTCGTGATCTGCCCACCTCAGCCTCCCAAAGTGCTGGGATTCCAGGCGTGAGCCACCGTGCCCAGCTTGACATGAGACATTAAAGTAACCCCCACAAGTCCAGCCCACTGCCCTGAGGGAAGTCCCAGGCTGTGCCCAGGGAGTGGGAAGTCAGGTGGGAACCCAGTGTATGGCTGTGTGGAAGAGAAAAAGAGAATGCAGGAGATAGGGAGGCTGATTGCATAGGCCAGACAGCAGGAGGAGCTCCAGAGAACCACAGGGCCCAGGACCCATCACGTTGTCAGCCAGGTTCTTTGCAAAGCACGGATGTGATGAAACTACCCAAGGCTCGTGGAAGAACCACCTGAGGGGATCAGAAGTATAACAATATATGTCATTCACGTGCAGAGCCTGAAATGGTTAACCCTCCCCACCAGAAACTCTTGTGATTCCCGGAGCCCTGCCTCGGTGATAGGAACAGGCCCCACACAGCACCGTCCCACTCACACCTAACATCTTAAAAACAAGATATGAAAGGATCACACTGTTTCCAAGAAACCTGGCTGCATCCCAGAACAAATATCAAATATTTAAAGAAATACAAAAATACTAAGCCCTGAATACAGTAAAACTCAATCTAACCAAAAATTACCATGCATGCAAAGAAAGAAGCAGGAAGATATGACCCATGACAATGAGAAGTATCAACCAACAGAAGCCAATCCAGAACTGACACAGATGTTAAAATTAACTGAAAAGGATGTTAAAAGTTATCATAACTGTATTCCATATGTTCACGAAGTCAGGTAAGGACATAAAAGTTATTAAAAAAAAAAAAGAAAAAACTTATAGAGATGAAAACTCCAATGTCTGATATTAAAAATACTTGATGAGATTAACAACAGGGTAAACATTACAGCAGACTCGGGAACCTGAAGACACAGTAACAGAAGCTTCCCAAAATCAAACAGAAAAATGAGAAGCACAACCAGCTGAGAGGATCAGCAAGCTGCGGACAACATCGAGCAGCTGAGCTCAAGTGTAACAGCAGACCCTGGTATAGTCAGCCCTCAACACAGAGAAAATCTACACACAGGAGTAGAGAGCACCAGAAACCGCCATGACATGGACAAACACGTATGCTGTTTTGCTTGTTACAGTTTCAATCTCTTTTAAAAATAACTGACTTTTAAATAAAAATAAAAACATATATTGTCAGTTTATAGCATAAGTAACTGCAAAAGGCATGATGACCAAAGCATCCGGGCCACGAGAGAAACGGCGGCAGACTGCCCTGATGCTGTGCTCTATGTGAAGCAGCACGCAGCCACCTCAAGGTAGACTGTGTTAGCCGGAGGAAGTGGAGCAAAACGCAAAGAAATCATTAAAACAGCGAAACAAAGAAGAAGGCTGCTCCAAAGGAAAACAGAAAAAAAGGGAAAGAGGAACGAAGAACACATGGGACAAAAAGAAACAGAACACGTCTAGCACTCAATCTTGGTTTCTGATATCACTGTCCAATGAAGGACCCAGCGCTCCTTGGAGAAATGGCTGATTCTAAGGCTGAAGCAAGGAGAAACAAAACAAAACAAAATAACCACAAAAAAACCCTATGTTGATGGGGCATGTCAAAGGGAGCCGACCAGAACTCCTGATGGCCAAAGCTAGAAGAACAATTTGAGCAACAAAATAAAGCAGTACTGGATTATAACCAAAAGTATAAAACAAACATTCTGGAATCCACACTGCTATAAAGAGTTGAATAAGTAAATAAATAAAGGAGAAGAGACAAATCTCCCATACATAAGAATTTTAAATAATTTACGAAGATTCGTGTCCTCATGGAGGGGGACCATAAATCCCCAACTCCTTAAGTGTGGGCTGTACGCAGCGACTTCCTTCCAAACAGTACAACATGGAAATGGGGAGGGAAAGGGTAACTTCATAGTGAGAAACCCAGTAAACAGCCAGGTGATCAAGATCAACACCAACAGTGGTAAGTCACGTTGACAATGTGCACCCTTGATATATGTGATAAAAGTGGTGTTTTACCTTCTCAAACCCATTACCACTATAGTATCATAATGAGGAAAACATCAAATTCTAATAGAAGAGAATGTTGTTACAAAATACTTGACTAGTACTCTTCAGAACTATTATATCAAAACTACCACAAACAAGGAAAGCCTGGGAAACTGTTACAGCCAAGAGGAGCCTAAGGAGACGTAACAATGAAATATAATGTGGTTCTCAGCTGAGATCCCGCAACAGAAAAAGGACGTTAGGTTACGATGTATCACTACTGGTTCAGTGATTGGGACAAATGTACCATATTAATGCAAGATGTCGGTAATAGGAAAAACTGGGTGCCAGGTATATGGGAATTCTGTGTGTTCAATCATCTCAATTTTTCTAAGTCTAAAACTATTCTAAAACAAATAGCAAGATGAGAGACCTAAACCTAACCAAAGCAATTACCACACTAAATGTTAACGTTCTAAATAGAAGACAAAAAAGCAAAACCCAAATGTTATGTTATCTACAACAAATGCACTTTATTAAATACACAAATAGCTTAAAGTAAAAAGGATATAAGATATACCATATTAAGGCTAGTCAAAAGAAACCTGGAGTGATTACATTAATGTGAGACAAAGTAAATTGAGAGCAAAGACTATTACTAAAGATAAAGAGAGGGGTCAATGAATCAAGAGGCCACAAAAAAGTCTTCAAAATACGTGAAGCAAAAACTGATAAAACTAAAAGGATAAACAGACAAATGCAAAAATTAACAGAACCTTTCTTTCAATAGTTGACAGAACAAGTAGACAGAAATCAGAAAGAGTACATTAATCTTGAACACTACCACTCAACTTGACCTCATTAACACTGACAAAATATTCCCCATAGCAACAGCAAAACACATATTCTTCTCAAGGACAAATGGAATATTTAACAAGACAGCCCATATTTGAAGCCATAAAATAAGACTTAATATATTTAAAGAAATTCAAGTCATACAAAGTATGTTCTTTGACCACAATGAAATTAAACTAGAAATTAATAAAAGAAAGATCCCTGGAAAACCCCCAAATATTTGTAAACTAAATCAAATATCTCTAAATTATCTATGAGTCAAAGAAAAAAAATCAAAAAAGAAATACAGTATTTGGAAGTAACTGAAAATGAAAACAATGCATCTAAATTTGAGAGATTCTGCTTAAGCACTACTTATGGGGAAAATAGTAAAACTAAATGACTATATCAGAAAATAAGAAAGGCCTCATATTAATGAGCTCTGCTTCCACCTTAGGACACAGAAGAAAGGGTAAATTAAACCCAAAGAAATCGTAAGAGAGTATATTACAAACATCAGAAGAAAGAATGAAATAGGAAAGAGTAAAACAAATGAGAAAAATCGATAAAATGAAAACACTAACTTTTTTTTTTTTTTTTTTTTTGAGATGGAGTTTCGCTCTGTCCCCCATGCTGGAGTGCAATGGTGCGATCCTGGCTCACTGCAACCTACGTTTCCTGGGTTCAAGCAGTTCTCCTGCCTCAGCCTCCCGAGGAGCTGGGACCACAGGCGCCCGCCACCACAGGCGGCTAATTTTTGTATTTTTAGTAGAGATGGCGTTTCACTATGTTGACCAGGCTGGTCTTGAACTCTTGACCTCACGTGATCTGCCCGCCTCGGCCTCTCAAAGTGCTGGGATTACAGGTGTGAACCACCATGCCCAACAGAAAACACCTTTTGATAAGGTCAATAAAACTAACAAACCTCTACCCAGACTGATTGGGATTATAAAGAAGACACAAATTACCAATAACAGAGATGAGTGATGTAACATGACTACAGATTTCACAGGTGATAACAGAGTATTATGAACAACTCTGTGCTGTAAATCCCACAACTCAGATGAAATAGACCAAATCTTTGTAACTATATAAACCAAAGCTCCCTCAAGAAGAAATAAATGAGTAGCACTATGAAAAAATAAACTGTAGTTGAAAGCTTTCCCACAAATAAAACTCCTGCCCAGGTGGGACGCAGTGGCTCATGCTTGTAATCTCAGCATCTAGAGAGGCTGAGGTGAGCGGATCGCTTGAGCTCAGGAGTTTGGAGACCAGCCTGGGTAACATGGTGAAACTCCATCTCTACAGAAAATACAAAAATAAGCCAGGCGTGGTGGTGTGCTACTGTAGTCCCAGCTACTTGGGAGGCTAAGGCGGGAGAATCGCCTGAGACCGGGAGGTTGGGACTGAGTGAGCCATGATGATGCTACTGCACTCAAGCCTGGGTGGCAGAGCAAGACTCTGTGAGCAACTAAACTAAGTAAGTTTAGTAAGTAAGAAAGGAAAGAAGAAAAAAGGAAAACTCCTGCCCACATGACTTGTTTCACTTCCTCATATGAGGGTGAAATAATACGTAACCTCTTCCAAAAACTTAAATAGAAAGAAAAACACTGAAATGAAAACTAGAAACCAAGATCCCAGGTGTAAAAATTCTAAGCAAAGTTTTGGTAAATGGAATCCAGTAGTATATCCAAAGTATACTGTATCATGATCTACAGAGGTTTAGACCACAAATGTTGGTATCACATTTGAAAAACAATTAATACAATTCATCCGAACACACTAAAAAACAACAAATATATGCCCATCTCCATAGATGACAAATTACAATATTCATTCCTCATAAAAATCTCTCAGCAAACCAGGAAAAGAAGAGTGCCTCATCAACATATAAAGGGCACAGACCTAAAACCACCACTAACGTTATACTTCATGGTGAAATACTGAGTGCCTCTTGTAAGACCAGAGACAACCCAAACGTTTGTTCATTCTTTCCACTTCTGTTCACCTTTGTACTGGAGGGCCTATCTAGTACAACGGGGCAGGATAAAGAAATAAAAGGCATCAAGATTGGAGAGAAAGTAAAACAGTCTTCATTCTAAAATAATCCAATCATCTATGTAGAAAATCCAATGTAATCTACAAAAAAGTGTCTAAAACTAATAAGTGAGCATAACAAAATTTCTGGGTTTGGACTCAATACATAAAAATGAATGCTTTGATATACTAGTAACAAACAACTGCAAATACAAATTTTAAAAATCACTTACAATAGCACCAAAAAATATAAAATACTTATAAACTGGATAAAAGATGTAAAAGACCAGTACACTGAAAACCAAAAAATACTTCTGAGAGAAATTAAAGATCTAAACAAGTAAGAGATACATCTTGTTCATGGATATTGTTCAGATGTCAATGTTCTCCAACTGATCTATAGATTCAGTGAACCCCCCAACAAAAATCTCAGCACTTTGTAGATATTAACAACCTCATTCTAATTTGCATGGAAATACACAGGAACTGGAATTTAAAAAGTAACTATGAAAAACAGAGTTGGAAGGCTATCACTACCTAATTTCAAGAATTATTAACAGTACAGGCATACCTCAGAGATATCATGGGTTCAGTTCCAGAGTGCTGCAATCAAGCAAATATTGCAATAAAGCAAGTCACACAAAGTTCTGTTTTCCCAGTGAATATAAAAATTATGAGTACACTAAACTGTTGTATATTTAATGTGAGATAGCAGTATGTCCTTAAAAAAAAAACTACAATACCTTCATTTAAACATACTCTATTGCTGGCTGGGCATGCTGGCTCAGGCCTGCAATCCCAGCACTTTGGGAGGCCGAGGCAAGTGGAACACCTGGGGTCAGGAGTTCAAGACCAGCCTGGCTAACATGGCAAAACCCTGTCTCTAATAAAAATACAAAAATTAGCTGGGCATGGTGGCACATGCCTGTAGTCCCAGCTACTTGGGAGGCTGAGGCACAAGAATCACTTGAACCCTGGAGGCAGAGGCTGCAATGAGCTGTGATCATGCCACTGCACTCCAGCCTAAGTGACGGAGTGAGATTATGTCTGGAAAAAAATAAATAAAAAGAATCTATTGTTGGAAAATGTTAACGATCATCTGAGCCTTCAGCAAATAATAATCTTTTTTGCTGGTCCTGCCTTGATGATGAGGGCTGACTGTTCAGGATGGTGGCTGCTGAAAACTTGGGTGGCTGCGGCAATTTCTTAAGACAACAGCGAAGTATATCACGTGGACGGACTCTTGCTTTCACCAAAGATTTCTCTGCAGCGTGTGATGCTGTTTGATATCATTTTGTCAACAGTGGGACTTCTTTCAAAATTAGTCAATCCTCTCAAACCCTGCTGCTGCTTTATCAGCTAGGTTTATGGAATATTCTAAATCCTTTGTTGTCATTTCAACAATATTCACAGCGTCTTCACCAGGAATACATTCTAACTCAAGAAACCATTTTCTTTGCTCATCCATAAGAAGCAAGTTTTACACATTCAAGTTGTACATGAGATTGCAGCAATTCAGTCATATTTTCAGGCTGTACTTCTGATTCCAGTTCTCTTCCTATTTCTACTACCTCTGCAGTGACTTTCTCCACTGGTCATGAACCCCTCAATGTCCTCCGTGAGGGCTGGAATCAACGCCTCTGGTTAATGTTGACATTTTGGCCTTCCCTCACGAATCACAAATGTTCTTAACAGCATCTAGAATGGTGAATCCTTTCCAGAATCCATCAGAGGAACCATGATCTATACAGCTAGAGCCTTATGAAATGTATTTTTTAAATAAGAAAATTTGAAAACACAATGACTCCTTGATCCATAGGCTACCGAATGGATGTTGTGTTAGCAGCCATGAAATCAACATTCATCTCCTTGTACACCTGTCAGAGCTCTTGGGTAACTAGGTACATTTTCAATGAGAAATTAAAATCTGAAAAATATCTTTGTTTTTTTTTTTCCTGAGCAGTAGGTCTAAACAGTAAGCTTAAAATATTCAGTAAACCATGATGTAAACAGATGTCCTGTCATCCAGGCTTTGTTGTTCCACTTAAAGAACACAGGGAGAGCAAATTTAGCATCATTCTTATGGGCCCTAGGATTTTCAGAATGGGAAATGAGCACTGGCTTCAAGTTAACGTCACCAGCTCCATTAGCCCCAACAAGAGAGTTGGTTTCTAATGTTGAAACCAGGATTAACTTCTTCTCTTTAGCTATGAAAGTCCTAGATAACATTTCCTTCTAATATAAGGCTATTTTGTCTCGATTGAAAATCTGTCATTTACTGTAGCCATCTTCATCAATTATCTTACCCAGATCTTCTGGATAACTTGCTGTTTCACCTTGCATTTTTATGTTATGGAGACTGCTTCTTTTCTTTAACTTCATGAAATAACCTCTGTGAGCTTCAAACTTTTCTTCTGCAGCTTCCTCACCTCTCAGCCTTCACAGAACTTAAGAGAGTTAAGGTCTTGCTCTGGATTAGACTTTGGCTTAAGGGAATAATTGTTGTGACTGGTTTTTCTATCCAGATCAAAGTTTCTCCATCTCAGCAAGAAGGCTGTTTTGCTTTCTTATCATTTCTGGGTTCACTGGAGGGGCACTTAATTTCCTTCAATAACTTTTCCTTTGCATTTACAGCTTGGTTAACTGTTTGGCTCCAGAGACCGAGTTTTCAGCCTATCTCAGCCTTTGACATTCCTTGCTTACTAAGCTTAATCACTTCTAGTTTTTGATTAAAAGTGAGATAAGTAAAACTCTTCCTTTCACTGGAACCCTCAGAAGAGGGAATGTAGGGCTATTAATTGGCCTAATTTCAATACTGTCATGTCTCAGGGAATAGGAAGGCCCAAGCAAAGAGAGAGAGAGACAAGGGAAGAGCCAGTTAGTGGAGCAGTCAGAACACACACGTCATTTATATATTAAGTTTGCCACCTTAAATGGTGTGGCTCCTGGCACCCCAAAACAATGGCAGTAGTACAAAACACCAAAGATCATCGATCACCACTAGCATTAATAATAATGAAAAGGCTTAAAATATTGTGAGAATTATGAAAATGTGACACAGAGACATGAAATGAATACATGCTATTGGAAAAATGGTGCCAATTACTTGCTTGATGCAGGGTTGCCACAAAACTTCAATTTATAAAGAAGGTGGTAGCTGCAAAGCACAATGAAGAGTAGCACAATGAAGCAAGCTCTGCTGACAATCCAAGCAGTGCACTACTGGAGTCAAAGCGGGCTAGCGCATCAATGAACAGAACAGACAGTCCAAAAATAAATCCAGACCTACGTGGACAAACGACTTCTGAGAAAGGTGCAAAGGCAACGCAGCAGAGAGAAGTCTTTCAACAAACAGTGCTGCAATAGCTGCAGATTCCTATGCACAAAATGAAAATAACTTTGATCCATATTTCATACCTTATACAAAAACTAACCTAAAATGGACCTAGAAATGTAAAATCTAAAGCAATTAAACTTATAGGAGGAATATAAACCAAAAGGAAGAGCCATAAAAGAAAAAAATGATAAACTTGATTACACAAGAAATTTTAAACTGCTTTTCAAAAATACTCTTGGGAGAACAAAGTACATTGCGTATCTGGACTTATATCCAAAACATATAAATAACTATCAAAAGTGAGTAATAAAACAACCCAATAAGAAAATGCACAAACAGGCACAACACCAAATAAGATATATGCATTACAAAAAAATGCTGCAACTTCAGGTTCTGCATGTGAGAAGCCTGCAAGTTATCACTCTGGTCTGACAAGTAAAAAATCTAAAAAGAACAATTAACAACTCTTCTTAGATCCTACGTAAAGTCACAAGGCAAACAACTGCTGCCAAATTGGACAGACAGACAGATAAATAGAGAAGCGATCACAACATATGGAGCAGAAACCTTTGCAGGAACCAAGGCGAGGACAGAAAACACTGTCCTGGAACTGATTAACTGCTGGAGGCTCAGGGTGGCCAAGTCTGAGAGTTAAAAACTGCAGGGAGTCTCAGTCATTGGCGGGTGAGGGGTTCCTGCACTTTTGTGACTTATACTTTCTGGAGCTCGATCAGGTCCTCACAGGGAATACTAGAGAAAAATCCCTTTGTGCTTCCGGCACGAGTAGGAGAAAAGTAACCGTTTTGAAAAATACCAGAGCACTCTGTTCTTCTTAACAAGGTCTGCCCTCAGGAAAGACAGTTTAACCACAGTCCAACTTGCTGGGGTTTAATCAGAGCAGAACATACCTAGAGGAAGGGAAACACCTAGCTCCTGCCTCCTCTGGTCATGCTGCCCCACCTAAGAGGGGAGGAAAGAAGAGAAGCTCCTGTGAGCTTCACAGTCCAGGGCCCGGGCTCACTACAGACTTGAGACTCCCAGGCCTCTTATGGAAGGCGTCCCCTGCCCACACCTCACCCCACAGCACTGAAGGCATAGTCACCACAGTGCCTTCCACCCAGCACGTCACAGCTGGCTCTCAAGAAAGTTACAAGGCATACACAAAGGCCAAAAACACAATGTCAAGAGCAGAGCAAGCATTAGAACCAGGCATGACAGAGATGTCAGAATTATGAGACAGGGAATTTAAAAGAACTAGGATAAGATGCTAAGGGCTCAAATGGATAAAGGAGACAGCAGGTAAGAACAGGTGGGCAATGCAAGCAGAGAGATGGAAATCCCAAGGAGGGGGAAAAAAACTGTGAGAGATGAAAACTACTGTAACAGAAATGCAGACTGCCTTTGATGGGCTATTAGGAGACTGGACATGGATGAGGATCTATCAACAGAAACCTCTGCTGGCACTCAGAAAACAATACCCCAAAATGAAGGCCTCAGAAACAAAAGTTTTTTGGGTCTTGTTTTATGTCCTTGAGAGCTTGAACTGTGACCAAGTGGGAGCACTCTTTGGTCTCCACCATTGGGGGAGGTACGATTTTCGGATCAGGTCGGGTGGCCGGTCTGAAGACAGGAACCCAAGACTTTTTGTTCTGCATACGTCAAGCGCTCGGGAGTTTGTCTTAATAAGAGGTCCCACGTGTAAGGGGCTTTTGTCATCTCAACTCCTGCTGCCTGGTTAGTCTGTGTCAACAAGAGTCTTTGCTGATTGAGCTCATTCCTGACAGTAAATGTTTTGTGGGAGGTATCTTTGGAATTGCTTCTTCTATGTCCTCTCCAGGATCTATCCTGGACTTTATACACCACTGAAAATTCTAAATGTCAATGGCCAAAAGATGGATCCTTTAAATTAGAATTGTAAATTTAAAAAAGGATTTTAGAAATCTCATCCTAAACAACTGATAAAAACATCAAGAGCAAAAAGGGTGCTTGGCATCACTAACCACTAGGAAATGCAAGCCAATTTCTAGAAAGACCCAACAATGCTATGGTTAGCCTTAAAAATTCTCTTTAAAATTAAAGAGCAAAAATCTGACCTGAAACAAAATTAAAAATTTTTTAAGCTTAAACTCCTACTTTGGATCCCCCTGTTGGTTAACAATGAGGGCTCCTCTATATTCTTGTAGGCCCACAGTTAAAATTCCAGGCTTTCCCTGCGGTGGCCTATTAGACACACAGCCCAATGCAACAGAAGAGAGGGCCGAGAAAGAAATCCTTGCATACATGGCCAATTGTTTTTTTTAACAGGCGTGCCACGATCGTTCTATAGAGAAAGGGCAGTCTTTTCAATAAATAGTGCAAGGACAACTGGATATCCACATGCAAAAACAAAGTTGGATCCATACTTTATACCATATACAAAAATTAACTCAAAATGATCAAAGATCTAAATGTAAGACCCGAAATGATAAAACTCAGACGAAAACACAGACAAAACCTTCATTATAATAAATTCAACAATGTTATCTTAGATATGACACCAAAGGCATAGGCAGCCCAACAAAAAATAAACAAACTGAACATTATGAACATTTTAAATTTTGTACATCAAAAGACACTTTGAATAAAATAAAAAGGCAACCCATATAATGGAAGAAAATAATTGTGATTGATGTATCTGATCAGGGATTAATACACAGAATATATTGAGAACTCCTAAAGACATTAACAAAAACCTGATTCAAAAATAGGCAAAGGATTTGAATAGACATTTATCCAAAGAAGACAAATGGCCAATAAGAACAAAAAGGGTGCTTGGCATCACTAACCATTAGGGAAATGCAAGCCAAAACTACAAAGATATACCCACTAGAATGACTACTATCAAAAAAATCAGAAAATAGGCTGGGCGCAGTGGCTCATGCCTGTAATCACAGCACTTTGGCAGGCCGAGGCAGACAGATCACCTGAGGTCAGGAGTTCGAACCCAGCCTGGACAACATGGTTGAACCCTGTCTCTACAAAAAATACAAAAGTTAGCTGGGTGTGGTGGCTCACGCCTGTAATCCCAGCACTTTGGGAGGCTGAGATGGGCAGAGGTCAGGAGTTTGAGACCAGACTGGCCAACATGGTGAAACCCCGTATCTACTAAAAATACAAAATTTAGCTGGGCGTGGTGGCTCACACCTGTAATCTAGGCTACTTGGGAGGCTGAGGCAGGAGAATTGCTTGAACCCGGGAGGTGGACGTTGTAGTGAGCTGAGATTGCTCCAGTGCACTCCAGCCTGGGCAACAGAATTATTCCATTTCAAAAAAAAAAAAAAATCAGAAAATAACAAGTATTGGCAAGGATTTAATAAAACTGGAACCCTTGTACACTGATGGTGGGAATGTAAAATACTATGGCCTGTATGGAAAACTGTATGGTGATTCCACCAAAAAAAGTTAAACATAAGAATTACCATATGATCCAGAAATTCTACTTCTGGAAGGCAGTTCAGCAGCTTTCTACAGAACTAAACATACTCTGACCTTATGATCCAGCAATCACACTCCTGGGTATTTACCCAAAGGAGTTAAAAACTTCCTTCCGTACAAAAACCTGCACATGAATGCTAACAGCATCTTTATTTGTAATTGCCAAAACCTGGAAACAACCAAGATGTCCTTCAGTAGGTGAATGACTAAGTAATTTGTAGTATGTCCAGACAATGGAATGTTATTCAGTGCTAAAAAGAAATGAGTTATCAAGCCTTGAAGACATGGAGGAAGCTTAAATGTACGTTACTAAATGAAAGAAACCTATCTAAGAAGGCTACATCCTGCAGGATTCCAACCCTATGACATTCTGGAAAAGGTAAAACTATGGAGACAGTGAAAAAACCAATGGATGCTAGGGGTTGGGGGGAGGGAGGGGTGAGTAGGCAGAACACAGATGACTTTTAGGGCAGGGAAACTACTCTCTCTGATGCTACAATGGAGGGTACATGTCATTATACATTTCTCCAAACCCACAGAACGTACAACACCAAGAGTGAGCCCTCATGTAAACTGTAGACTCCAGGTAATAATGATGTGCCAATATAGGATCATCAATTATACAAAGGCACCCTCTGGTGAGGGAGTGTGAATAGTGAAGAAGGCCATGCATGTGTGGGGGTGGGGGGGAGGGGAGTATATGGGAGATCTCTATACCTTCCACTAAAACTCGCTGTGAACCTGAAAGTGCTCTAAAAAAAACAGTCTTTTTTTTAAAAAGGATGTTTGATAGCATTAGTCCTTAGGGAAACATAAATTAAAGCCACAGTAAGATTCTACTGTCTCCCTTTTACAGCAGCTAAAATTAAAGACTGACCCTGAGGTCATAAGGGTCATAAGGATGTGGTGCTTTAATCCACCACTGGTTGAGAATAGAAAATGGTACCACCACTTTGGAAAACTGCCTTACCATTTCTTAAAAGGATAAACATGCCTACCAGATGATCCAGCTACTCCATTCCTAGGTATTTTACCCAAGAGAAATGAAAACATATGTTTATATGAAATCTTGCTGACAAATGTTCACTTTTATGAACACTTTTTATTGGCAAAGCCACATTTTGAAAACAATCCCAAAATCCATGAATAGGGGAATAGAAAAACAAACTGTGATCTATCCATATCATGAATACTTCTCAGCAATAAAAATAAATGATTAATTCATGTTACAACATGAATCAGTCTCAAAAATAGTAACCTAAGTCAGACAAAAACAGTACACACTGTCAAATTCTATCACACGTCTGTTGTCCAGCAACTTGTGGGGCTGATGCACATCTCTTGGGCCCAGGAGTTCCATCTTTTTTTTTAAAGAGAAAAAAAATCTACGAAACGCAAACTGACATATAGTGATAGAAAACAGACCACTGGGCCGGGCATGAAGGCTTACACCTGTAATCCCAGCACTTTGGGAGGCCGAGGTGGGCGGGTCATGAGGTCGGGAGATCAAGACCATCCTGGCTAACACGGTGAAACCCCGTCTCTACTAAAAATACAAACAATTAGCCGGGTGTGGTGGTGGGCACCTGTAGTCCCAGCTACTGGGGAGGCTGAGGCAGGAGAATGGCGTGAACCCGGGAGGCGGAGGTTGCAGTGAGCCGAGATCACGCCACTGCATTCCAGCCTGGGTGACACAGCAAGACTCCATCTCAAAAAGAAAAAAACAGACCACCGGTTCCACGGAGAAAGGAGAGGGCACAGGAAGCTCTTCCTGGTGTTTGGGATGTTCGTGATCTTGATTGTGCTGAGGATTTTACAGGTACAGAACAACTTATCAAACTGGGTGGACAAAGCAAAGAGGAATGAAAGAGGCAACACATTAATAATGTATTATTTCCTCAATTGTCTGTAAGCTACAGAAAATCTGGGGTATACCTGAAGTATATGATGTTTATTGTACATCGGTTATGCCTCACTAATGCTTTATAGGAGTGAGAGAGGGAGTAGGTGGAGGCAGATGAAGGAGGAAGACAAAGCAGAAGGTATTCTTTTTCTTCTTTTTGAAAATAGTTTTAAATACCCCTTTTAAAAAGAATCACCTTTTGAAATTAAACTTTCCAGAATATACTTTAACATGTTGTTATTTCACTTTTGATAATGTTCCCTATCTTCTATCTTCAGATAGATTTTAACATGTTATTTCACTTTTGGTAACGTTATCTATCTCCTGTCTTCAGGCAGATTTTCACAAGTTATTTCACTGTTGATAACATTACCCATCTTCCATCCTCAAGACAGATCTTCACATCTGTCTACCTCCTATCTATCTTCCATCTTCTGTATAAATTCTGACCCCAGTTCAAGATTAGGTCATTTCAATTTAGTCTGAAACTTAAATTGTTTATTTTGAACCATTTTACTTCCTACCATTAGGATTCTCACTCCCTCAATGTATAATGCCTTTTTATCTTTTGTAAAAATCTGTTTTAATGATGAGCATTCCTTTCCTTTGCCATCTTAAATTCAATGGACTCTAACATGACTCCAGTTTATCCCAATGTTCTGCCATTCCCAAGTCACTAACCAGTTACTGGTGAATTAACAAGGGGGATGTAATCAAATTACATTGCTGAATACTGGCCTTCCTCAGATTTAGAAAACTGCTCATGTAGACGGGAAATTCACTTTATGCAAATTCAAGATGGCAAATTTATATTTACAAGAAACAAGCATGGCTTAATTTTTGTACCTTTATAAATACTTGATTCATTTTACCAAACAATTATTTAAAGCAATAAGCTCCACTGAAGTTAAAAAAAAAAAAAAAAAAAAAAAAACAACCGTCACAGAACATCTACACATTTTCCCTCTTAAGTGACAGTTTCTGACTTTGACAGTCTTAAGCCAATGAAGTCATTCTGCATGGCTGTGCCTTACAGCATCGAGGTCTGGCCTCTCCAGCCCTGCCCAGTGCATTCCCTGGTCACTGGGATAACGAAAAGCCCATGGCAAGTGGGGTGGGGGAGGGGACAGGGACTGGTTAAGAACAATTGTGGTAATAAAAATGAAAACATGAGAGGCCGAGGCGGGCAGATCACAAGGTCAGGAGATCGAGACCATCCTGGCTAACATGGTGAAACCCCATCTTTACTAAAAATACAAAAAATTAGCCGGGCGTGGTGGCAGACGCCTGTAGTCCCAGCTACTCAGGAGGCTGAGGTAGGAGAATGGCATGAACTCAGTAGGCGGAGCTTGCAGTGAGCCGATGTCTCACCACTGCACTCCAGGCTGGGTGACAGTGAGACTCCGTCTCAAAAAAAAAAAATGAAAACATGAAAAAGTTCCTGCATTTCCAGTAACGTGTGGTACACTCCATAACTGGGCCTGAACATCTCCTTTCCCACCTACTCTCTTCCTTTCCGTTTTTTAGCCACTACTACATACTAAGGTACTTACAACCCTACATGAGAACAACAGAGATTCTATCCAGATGGTCTTACATTTGCTTTCCTCCAAGCCATTCTTTCACACTCCTGCAAAATTTACCTTCCCCAAACAACTTATTTTCTTCATGTCACTCATTTCCTCATCAACAGGAAAGAAGTTCAAATGTGAATGGCTTCTAAGACTTGCAAATGGGGCCTCAATTGCCCCTACCTACAATACCACAGCATTCCCTCTCTATCCCCCTCCCTTTACCCAAACTGTCTTACTCTCAAATCCAACATTAACGTTCCACCTCTGCACTTTTACTGACACTTCGCACTACTAAATAGGTTTCATTTTTTTTTTTTTTTGAGATGGAGTCTCGCTCTGTCGCCCAGGCTGGAGTGCAGTGGCACGATCTCGGCTCACTGCAAGCTCCGCCTCCAGGTTCACGCCATTCTCCTGCCTCAGCCTCCCAAATAGCTGGGACTACAGGCGCCCGCCACCACGCCCAGCTGATTTTTTTTGTATTTTTTTTTTAGTAGAGACGGGGTTTTACCGTGTTAGCCAGGATGGTCTTGATCTCCTGACCTCGTGATCTGCCCGCCTCGGCCTCCCGAAGTGCTGGGATGACAGGCGTGAGCCCCCGCGCCCGGCCCAGGTTTCATCTTTTGAGACCTTACATTCCTCCATGGCACCTCCCTAACCAGGGCCTCTCATCTTCTCTGCATCCACATAAGGGTGAGTTTAAAGTAGAATTAAAAGCAGGCAAAGAAAGACCCATTGTGTAGAGAATGTTAATACTCTAAATAAAAAAAATAAATAAAGCAGCCCATATTCCCTGGGAAAATGCACCCATAAGATATGTTTACCTGTCTCGCTATTTTCAGGCAGAGAGTCATATTCTGAGGGACCCAGAGCGAGAGCGTTCATGTCTGCTGGGTCCGACTCCTGCGGGTCTGGCAATGCGGCATTCTCATGGCCCTGGTCACCATCACCATTGGCATCCGATCCTACAATTAGGAGTTTACCCCAAAAAGGCAGGGTTAGAAGCATAACTTTCTCTTAAAACAAAGCTTACACTTGCAGTGACTCAACTTCTTTAGACTGTAAAAGACCTCTGGGCTCTCAAGCACTGCCACATACCATGACACAGTTATGAATGAACAACATCTTAAAGACAGATTAAAATGGCAACAAAAGCACAGGCCTGAAAGCAGGGGGCTGCACACCACGGCCATGCTCAACTTACCCTGCGGGCCACGGTCTGCGTGGTGGCCAGCCACCTCCTCCCATGCAGCACTCACACCGTCAGCAGCACTGCTTGCTTCCAGATGTAACACAGGAGCCCCCCACACTTCTGCATTAGGGTTCAGCTCTGAAACCTTAGTTGCTGGTACCTAGGAAGAAATGTAAGATAGACATTTGTATCCAAATGTCAACCAAATACAATTTTACTCATTAATGCAGAGTTAAGAGACATCAGATATAGGCTCCAAAGGCTCAGCCTATGTATTTATACACACCTTTGGAATGAAATCAGGTTCAAAATTAAAAAAAAAAAAAAAGCAGTCAGAATTCCATTAAATTCCCCCCAAGTTTTAAGTTCCTCCTCCCAAGACCAAGGCTTGCAGAGATGGGGAAGGACACGCCTGCCACCAAAAGATTCAGTGTTTCACAAACTATACCTGAGGAATAGCTGGTGACTTCCTAGACTCCTAATAAAATCACAATTCAGGGTTTTACAAACTTGAATACAAGGCAGATGAATAAAATTCTAATTAGAAAGCTTAAACAAGTCAGCAGGGCGCGGCGGCTCACACCTGTAATCCCAGCACTTTGGGAGGCCAAGGCGGGCGGATCACCTGAGGCCAGGAGTTCATGACCAGCTTGGCCAACATGGAGAAACCTTGTCTCTACTAAAAATACAAAATTAGCCGGGCGTGGTGGCGCATGCCTGTAATCCCAGCTACTCGAGAGGCTGAGGCAGGAGAATCACTTGAACCCAGGAGGCGGGGGTTGCAGTAAGCTGAGATCGCACCACTGCACCCAACCTGGGGGACAGAGCAGAACTCCATCTCTAAAACAAAAGAAAGAAAGAAAGCTTCAAAAAGTCACATAAACAAAAGGTGTAGAAGATGAAAATTGCTCCTAAGAATGAAGGTGTTCTAACAGGTCTGTCAGGGATACTACAGGATAAGAAAGCTCAGGCATCCTTTGAGGAAGAAGATAAAATATCTCATATTTTTCACAGAACTACCTGTTCCCATTCCCAATAGAGCTTCAGTATCACCTTGAAAGAAAATCCACAGGTGACCATGAAGCTGCTAGTCCAGTGTTCTGGACAACGGACTCTCAGATCACTGGGGCTGAGGCCAAAGCTGCCATGGACAGCTGTGGAACATGGGCTAAACCTCACCTGGAAGACAGCACAACAACATGATGCCTGGCACATACCAAGCTCATCGGCCATCATGACAGTCACGCATGCTCAGTTAGTCCCACAGGGCAGTCCTCTACTCAAAACCCTCCCGCATCAGCTTGGCTCATTTGGAGTAAAAGACGAAGTTCCCACTGCAGCCACAGCGCCCTCCTGTGCTCACTGCTCCCTGGCCTTGTCCATTTCCAGGCACACTGACCTCCTTGCTGTCTCTGGGCACACTGGCACTTTTGCTCTTCCCGTCCGTCTGTCCAGAACATCCTGCCCAGAGACTGGGGACTGGTGGTCCTTCCTGACACAGCGAATAAACCCACAAAAGTCCCCCACCATGTGGATACTCCCTACTCCCCTGATTTTTCTGATACAAGCCTTTCTTATGCTTACACAAGCACTCCCCAAAGCCTAAAGAAAAGTCAAATGTCCAAACACACAATCCTTCAACAAACTTACACATGATTTGCCTTTTCAAATGTGCCACCCACCTTCACACCACAGTGCAGGAAGTCAAAGCTTCTGGAGGAAGGGACAGGTCCCTGGTCCCCGGTGCCCCTTGGAATCAGGCTGCAAGCTGGGAGCAGTTACACTGCACTACCCCAGCATGCAGCATAGACACACCAGTTTCTGCGGCCCAGAACACAGGAGAAGGGCTGGAAAGGACCACCATGAGCCGTCAAATAAACGATGGGTGCATTAACAATTTTTAAAAGACAGAATAAATCCACATTGGCTCAGGTGATGGGGCTGGTAGTAAAAAACATGAAACTATTTCTGAAACTGAGAGAAGGCAGCTGATGTGGTTTGTTCGTTCCTGCTCCCCCAGTCACTGGAGCACCAATGAGCACCATGCCCATAAAACCAGGTGTTTAAATGAGTATCTATCTGGAATTCTTTTTAGTTTTTGTTTTAAGTACTGGTGATAGGGCAAATTATTGGGTTCCTTCAAGAATATTATAATCAAGAAGCACCAATTCTTCAATTTTCCTTCTTGCATTGCATCTAAACTTCATTTTTGGCCTCTGCTTCTGCATAGTGTTACTTGCCCTCTTCTCTCTCATCCACCCATCTGTCCAACAAGTGCCTCTGACATGTTCACCAGCATGCTTGTGCCAGGCACGGCACTGAGCTGGCAGGTGTGATGGTGAAGGAAGCAGACAGGAGCTCATGGAGCTACATGAGGGGGCAGGAGACAGCCACAGGTCACCCACAACACTGCCTCTGGCAGCGTTTACGCCGCTCCACCTGATCTGTTGTCTTTGTAAATTCATTTCTCTATTCTCTTTCCCACTCTAATACTTCCATACATCACCTTTCCTAATTAGACCCAGTCTGTTTTCACCACCACCACACAATCCAGTTTTCCAGCCTCGGTTCCATTCCATCCACTTAGCTGGCTCCCCTCAGCTCATGCACATACTACACGTGCTTTAAATTCCCAACACTAACTAACAGTAACCTTCTCTATTATTAGTACCTTTTGCAGTTGACTGTCCTATAGTACCAAAATACATTTTGTGGTTTATTAATACAGACCAACAGCACTTTGAAAGCAGTGACAGCATGGCTGTTGGGGCTCCCGTGGCCCTCGTGTTCCTCCTATTCCAGGGTGGCAGTCACCATGGGCATTTTCCTCACTGTAGTACTGCTGATAGCCAGCACAGTCCTGAATTCAGTAGGGAGGTGCTCAAGATATATGAGGAATGAATCAATGTTTAATAAATAACATAAATTTATATTTTCCACTATTTGACAACTTCTGCAAGGTTTTATGCCACAAATGACTAGGACTCTACCCTTAACCAATGACTACCTCTTAGTGAAGAAGTCCAAATCAAGTGTATGCAGTTAGGAAATGTTCAATCAATGCTGTGACTGAAGAGATGTCACCAGGAATGAAAGAATGAAGATGTCTTTTAAGGCTTAATGACATTCAAGGATCTACCACGTGCTGAGCACATTCTACGCACTTCCTTGTACTGAATCAGAACAAGTCTTGGAGGTCGTTATTCACTGGACTCATTTCACAAATGAAAAAACCAAGGCAGAGAAAGGTAGAGTAACTTCCCCATAAAAACGATGGTAATTAGAAAGTTAGATTCTAAGCAATTGCGTTCAGCAAAATTCAACACTCATCAAGAGTTCATTAACTTATAATTTATGAGAAATAGTTTGTATTAAACAAAGATCTGAATCTCCTACTATTTCTATAAAATATGGTTATTCTCTTGCAGTAATATGGAACTCTAAATGGTTATCAAGAACTCCAGCGTCGGCCGGGTGTGGTGGCTTATGCCTGCGATCCCAGCATGTTGGGAGGCCAAGATGGGCAGATCACTTGTGGTCAGGAGTTCAAGTCCAGCCTGGCCAACATGGTGAAACCCCGTCTCTACTGAAAATACAAAAGTTAGCTGGGTGTGGTGGCACACACCTGTAATCCCAGCTACTTGGGAGGCTGAGGCAGGAGAATCATTTGAACTCAGGAGGCGGAGGTTGCAGTGAGCTGAGATAGTACCACTGCCCTCCAGCCTGGGTGACAGAGCAAGACTCCATCCTTGAAAAAAAAAAAAAAAAAAAAAAAACTCCAGTGTCGTCTGCTTGACTATAAGTCTTATTTTTCCATTAAAAATGTATGGCTAAGCAATGGTTATTAAAACCACAGGCAAGCTGACCTTAACAGCCACATTCCAAAGTGAACATGCCTGAGTTCTGATGCTTTAAATAAACCCTTCCACCCCACCCCATCCTGTGCGAAACAATATGCTCCACTTTGAAAAATAACGTATCAATTAATAAGCTTGTATAACTACCGATACGAGACAGAACAGTCTCTCTGACAAGTTACTGACTAGGAACTGGAGTAATTAATGCTGGAGAAGGGGGACTGGCCGGTGAGGTACAGAAAGCAGGTGAGAAATAGGGGAAAGAAACATTCCATGCAAGCACCAACCACTCCTACAGATGCACTAAAAAGCTTAGTAATTCAGGGCAATTTGCTGACTTCAGAACCATACAAGGCTCTACCTCCAGTTCTTTGTGAAATGGAGTAATAGCTGCTATATTAAGATTTGCTTAAAAAAAAAAAAAAAAAAAGACACCTGTAACAGCACTTTGAAAATTGAAGCTCTGAAAGGCAAGGCACCATCGTTAAACGTGGTAACGCTTCGTATGAGAATACTGTTTGGGAATACCTCATAATGGAAAAGCTAATTTAAAACTGGAAGCACACCTCTCACTTAGGCATCATTTATGCTCTTTGTTGATGTCTGAGGCAGTGACACTGGTAACTAACTGAAAATTATGTCACTTCTGTAAAAGATTAACTGCAGATTATCTTAAAGATGTAGTTTTATACTGTTTTGCCTCCACAACTATTTAAGGAGCAAAACTAATGAATTTGAACATAACTCTCTCCAGAAAAACTCCCAGTGTGGGCACGGAAATAAAAGAGGTTGATGGATCATTCCTTACACTACAGAAGGGGATTTCTACTTGTTTATTTCCATATAGTAAGTGTTGACATTTGAGCCATCTCTACCTCCTTAATATCAATACTTTTCCTTGCTTCATTGCCCACAAAAATCATGAATAAACCACTGGTTGAATAATGAGATCTTGCTACTCTGAGTATGTGCTTTCAATCACACTGCTTCGATAAATGTCTGTTTTGTGGAAGAAAACTAATTTCCTGTTGTTGAATGATGTTGACATTTATTACAGAATTTCTGGAAAGATGCTCAAATTAGCTGCCCATAGAGTCATTTGCTAAGCTTCTTCCAAACCAGAGGGACAGCCTTATCTCGGGGTTCTGAAAAAGAAAGAGCTCCACAGTAATTCTAACTGCAAGAAGACAGAACCAAGATTTCATAGGCAGTTAAAAGCAGCAAATTCTACCTGCCTCAGACACATACAAAGATATAAGGAAGCACAGATTTTTAGGTAAGTTTGTCTTCTGCAGTGTGACTTATACCTTCAATGGGCTCACATGCTTATCGAATCAACTACACTGCCCACGAGATAAGATGCCCTCAAAGGGCTCTGACAACACTGCGGCCAGGAAGACAGAAGAGCTGGCAAAATTCACAGACAGAAAAAAGTCAACACAGAGCTCAGGGCATGCTTTAGTGCTAACAAGAGTTTGCACACAACCTCTGGCTTAAGTACACCAAACAAGAATTCATATTCTCCAATTTGGAAATCATTAATGTTATAGTAATTCACAGCCATATATAAGCATTCAAATAACTACCCACTGTTTAGAGTAAATCTTTATTAATTTTAAGTTAAAAACAATTAAAATTGGCCAGCCCGGTGGCTCATGCCTGCAATGCCAGCACTTTGGGAGGCTGAGGCGGGTGGATCTCCTGAGGTCAGGAGTTCAAAACCGGCCTGGCCAACATGGCGAAATCCCATCTCTAAAAATACAAAAATTAGCCAGGTGTAGTGGCACATGCCTGTAATCCCAATTACTCGGGAGGCTGAGTCACGAGAATTACTTGAACCCGGCAATCACTTGAACTTGGGAGGTGGAGGTTGCAGTGAGCTGAGATCACGCCACTGCAACTTGGGTGACAAAAGTGAGACTCTGTCTCAAAAAATAAATAATAATAATAATAATAATAATAATAATAATAATAATAATAATAAATTAAAATGTATAGCCCAGCATACCGCAGCACAATAGTAAACACACAGAAAACATACTTACGAACTGTCCGTCTCTATCATGCCATCCCCAAACAACACCGTCCTCTGACACCGGTAGCTGAGGAGTGTTTTCTGAAAACAAAGCAATTTCCAAGGCCTGTGGCTTATGGTGCAGATCCTCACTAAATATTGTTTCACCTTCTAGAGCACCTTTTGTGACTGTATTAGTCCAGAGATAGCCCATTTGATATCCACCACAACCACTGGCCAGTCTTTCAGAAAATGCTGGGTTTCCTAACCCTCCCATCGGGTAATAGGAAAATTCACTCAAAAAACGGGAGACTCCTTCTGGGAAACTCTGCCAATCCACTTTTGAGGGATGTTCACATCTATTTAGGACACCTTCTGTGAGTGATAAAATGTGGCCACTACTTGGTACAATCGTGTCTTTGCTGTCCACGGGGACAGCGGGAATCCCCTGCGCTGCATCGCAGGGGGCACCTGTGTATCTGTCCGCTAGGGTGGGATCAACACCAACCAGAAAGAAATTGCCACTGGGAGTGTCACGTGACTCTATTTTCTCAAAACTCACCTTAGCATTTCCCATAAAACCCATTTCACCATTTAAAGTCGACTGTGTAAGAGTGGACTTGGCGTTTCCTTCTTTGAAATGGTGTGCACGTTCACTCGTCCCACATGGACCCAGGCAGTCAGTAATTCTGGGGTCAATACTATCTTTCTCCAAATAAAGTCTCTCTTCCTCTTCTTTACATGTTAGTTTTGGTTTACTCAACCCTGATGTATTATTACCAAAGATACCAGAAGCTTCTTCAATTGATTCAGAGGAAATTCCCTTCCATTTTGGGCTTTTACCACCACTAACAGAATTCTCTACTATTTCTGACTTCTGTATAACTGGATTAACACTTGGACTGAAATGTGGTAACACACTAAGAACATTATATTTGCAGTCGTATACTCGGTGTGTTTCATAACTTTTTTCTATTTGATTAGTTTCAAAATCAGCGTTCTCTGTTGCACTAGAACTAACACAGGAGAGTACATCCTGACTTGGCACTGCCTCATGTCTTTGTGTACCTGTTTCCCACTCATAGGTTGTTTTAGAATCTGACTTGACAGTCTCTATGTCATCTTCACTTGTCTCACTATACTTTGCTTGCAGTGATTCTTTTTCACTACCTTCTAACCTTTGAGGGTCACTCAGCTGGTCTCGTGACACACTGACTGAACTCTTCACACATATTTCACCCTCTGTTTTGTCACCTGGGCTTGTTTCCCTCTCTTCTTCCTCTGTGCAGGTGAAAATAAATGCGGAGGAAACACAGTTACTGTGAAGAGATCTGGAGTGACTGGGAGACTTGCCATCGGGGGGCACTCCTTGTGCCATGCTAAGCTTTAGGCCATCTGTCCTCTGCACCGTCCCCTGCGTGTCCACCACACGCTCCACACAAGTTTGGTCACAGGTCTGTGTTGCAGCCTCATCTGCTTGACACCAAGATTTTGACTCAAAAGCCCTTACACCATGACCCTCAGCCTTCCAAACGCCAATTCTGTCCTCTTCTTGGTAAAAGGCACTATTTTCAGATTGCAGAGACACCTCACCTCTGTCTGGCAGCAGGGGACTTCTGGCCTCCAGGCTGCAGTCCCCTCTGCGCTGTGCCTTCCTGACTTGTCTGGGGACAGGTTCCGGCTCCCAGCAGTCATCAAGCTGGCTTGGGGCTGCTTCTCTTGAATTAGCGTGACCTGAGAGACACCCACTTCCAAATCTTACTGCAGTGATAGGCCTCTTAGGACTTAAATCAATTCTATCTAGACCAACAGGAAGGATACTATCTGCTTTGTTAACGTCCAAGTAGAAATCATCGTTGTCTCTTAGTGGTGTGATAGAGTTATTTTCTCTCTCCTTTTTAGAATGTAAACTCTGGTCGACAACAACTGTTACCACCTCCGGGTCATCACTCCCTGCAACACATGCAGTGTCAGTACAAAAGCTACCAGGTGAATGTGCAGTGTCAGTACGGAAGCCACCAGGTGGATGATCCATCTCACTTCCTACTCCTGAGTTACAGCTCTCACTTTCTCCCAGGACACACGCATGACTTAGTGAGTCACTGTCCATGTTGTTATTTAATTCAGGGAGTAGGTCAATACCATGTAGTGCACTACTTTCTGCGTAATTTTTAGGGAATTCAGTGCAAGCTTCTGCCTGTAAAGCCTCCATCTGCACGTTATCAGTGTTTGCTTCACAAGGTGCATGGCTGAACGCCACAGGCTCAGGGCAAGGCTTGGCTTTCCCACTGCATTCCCCTGTCCTTTCACCTGGACCCAGCGTGTCCCAAGGCGAGAGTTCTTCCTGCCGTGGCTCTGGCTCGCCCGCCCCTGACATGGCACGCGAGGCTGAAGGCACTGAAGAGCAACACTCTCCTCTTGCAGCTACTGTGTCTACCCAGGTGCCCAGCTCCTCTGCCACGCTTGGGCAGGCAGAGTCGGCAACACAAATGCTGTGAAACTTGCACTCTCCTGAATCCTGACATTGCTGATCATCAATACCAACAGGGTTTCCATCTTTCCTCTCCCTATCGGATAGGTCTAAAGACTTACTCTCATCACCACTGCTGAGGTGAACGCTGACCACCATTTCTTTCTCTACTAAAGAGTTTTTACAAGTAGCTGGGTAACAGTGCAGATGGCCACTCACAAAGGCTTCCTCCTGCAGGCCTCGGTCAGAAGGCACCAGCACACATGAGAAAAGCTCCTCATCTTCCCAACAACCTTGTCGGCTGCCGTTACCCACACACAGTAGATCACAGACCCCCTCAGAATTCTGCTCATTAACAACAATATCTGAATTCTTGTCATTCTCACCCAAGTTTTCATACCTTGTTGAGAATGTATATATAAAAGAGGAAAGAGGGTTCAATGACTGCTTGGGTCTATGACCCTGTTTGTGCCCAGACCCTGCGAAAATCCTTGTCCGCGCGCTAACGCCAGCTACACTGCTGGCTCCACTGCCAGTACGGTGAACCTCCTCACCTTTGACGGTATCAAATAATGAAGACAAAGTTTTACTTATCTTGTTTTCTGGTTCCTTTTCCTCCACAGATTTTTGTAACAGGCCAGTTTTTTCACTGTCATTGTCACTACTTAGTTCTCTGCTGAAGCAGCAGCCCATGTTTGAGAGCTCACAAGCACACGACAGGCGTGCTGGTCCCAAGCCTCCACAGACGCACCTCACAGTAACTTGCTATAATTTCTGAGGAGAAGCCAACACCCAGAGACCAAAAATAACCCCTTGCACAGCGGTCACATGTTCCTGCCACTCAAACCCAAATCCTAATGACAACAGAGCCCGACTGACAGCCAGCATACTCCGTGTGCCCAATTCCAAACAGGACCAGGATCCAAAAGCTCAGAACAGCAGCAAGAATGCTGCGCTGTATTTTTTCTTACTCTCATAAACTCAATAAAACATAACTTAAAATATTATCCCAGCCAGAAAGATTTCAGGCTTCTGGTTTTTCTACAGTGTTCCAGTATTTCCCAAATTATATTTCATGGGATGGTGGTAACTAAATAAAATAGTTCATAAATTCCCCCAAAGGAAAACAGTATCAGAATTTTGTTCCGTAAAATATATAGCTACTCACAGTTGTATCTAATTTTCTAGCTTTACGAAATGATGTCTGAAATAAATAGCAATTTAAAAAGAGACGAAAAAATCAAAGGAGAGCAAAAAAATAAATAGCAATAAAAAATAGTATCTGTAGGTATCAAGAAATTATTACTAATTGTGTCAGGTGTGAAAATGGAATGATGTCAGTTAGAGATGCATGCTGAAGTATCTGGGATAAAGTGACACATTATCTACAATTTGCTTTAAAATGCCCTAGCAAATATAGTAAATATATACACACATATATAAAAGTTAAAACAGTCATGTGCATACAGGGAGGAAAAGATTTAAAGACAGTAGTCCAGGCCGGACGTGGTGGCTCATGCCTGTAATCCCAGCACTTTGGGAGGCCGAGGTGGGTGGATCACCAGAGGTCAGGAGTTTCAAGACCAGCCTGGCCAACATGGTGAAAACCCGTCTCTACTAAAAATACAAAAAATTAGCTGAGCATGGGAGTGTGTGCCTGTAGTTCCAGCTACTCGGAAGGCTGAGGCAGGAGAATCACTTGAACCCAGGTGGCAGAGGTTGCAGTGAGCCAAGATTGCGCCACTGCACTCCAGCCTGGGTGACAAGAGTGAGACTCCATCTCAAACAAAACAAAACAAAACAAAACAGTAGTCGAATGTGGCGATGGGTAATGTTCAAGTTAATGATGCTGCATTTGGTTCATGGTATTATTCGCTCCACTTCTGCAGATGTCTGAGCACTCCAATTAAGAAAAAGGAAGGAACAAGAAAAAAAAGGGAAAATAGATCTACAAGCTCTGGTACCAGAACTAGAAAGTCTCTTGAAAGTACTTGATGCAGGAACGCACAGCCTGCCATCTGGTGAAAAACAGGCGTTGTCCACAACTAAACAAGTTGCTCATGTACTATGTGGTCCAGTCCCTAACTGTGGACTCACATAATGGGTCTTGTCTTACATTGACATCTGTGATGTTTTGCTTTTAGTATAAGTAATTCTTTTTCTTATTATGGTTCTGACAGGCTATGTGAAAAACAAAATAATTCTTTTAGTTCCTCTGCAAGAGAGATTTTGTTGTTTCTTTAACCTATGAGTTATGACTGGTGTCCTATTAATGTTTTACTTTTTAAAAATATTAACATTTTTATGATAAAAAGTTTAGGAATTACACTTAAACATAAAGGTAACAAGAACACTTATGAATATACTAAAATTCAAGTACTGAAATCATCATAATGATTATGATGATAATGGTAGTCAACACTTTATATAGCACTATGTTTCACAAAATATTAATTACATCTATGCATCCATTTTGTCACACGTCTTAATTTGCACCCTTAACAACCCCCAAGGTAGATACTACTAATTCACTGTACAGATAAGGGAAATGAGGCACCAAGAACTTTAGTAGCAGCTTCGAATGACAAAACAAAACTCAGACCATACATTGACCATACTGTTATGCTACTCAAAGAGAATTAAACATCTACATGGCAAAAACGTTCTGCACTAAAGACACAAACGATTCATACCAGCTGTAAAATGAAAGGACATAGTAAAGCAGAGAAGCTCACGAGATCACCTGCCTGGCTTTGAGTCTCAGCTCCATTTTTACATGTGTCATCTCTGGCAAATTATTTAACCTCTTTGTCTCAGTTTTCTCATTTGTAAAATGGAGCCAACACCGACATCTATTTCAAAGAGCTGTTAGGCAGACTTTAAGTAGTTGGAATAGAATCTCAGAGTCCCACTTCAAAGTCCCCCATAATCTGGCCCCAGCCTACCTCTATGATCTCGGCTTCTAAGATACCATTCCCCCGACCTCTTCTATCTCATACTAACCAATGCCAGCACACTGCCTCAATGTTGTTTCTTTCTCCAGTCTCCTCCCCACACTTTTCAAGCCTTGAAGTCCTTTGTGAAACCATTCTGTGCTGCTCTAACAGAATACCTGAGATGGGGCAATTTATAAAGAACAGAGATTATTTCACACAATTCTGGAGGCTGAGAGTCTCAAGTCGAGAGGCTGCTTCTGGAGAGGCCTTTGTGCTGCACCATCACACATGTGAGGAAATGCAGTCACTCCCACCACAATGGCACTCATCCACTCCTCCACTTGTGAGGGCAGAGCCTGGTGTCCTTATCACCCCTTAGAAGGCCCTACCTCCCAATGCTGCTGCACGGCGGACTGATTTTCCAACACATGAACTTTGGGGGACACATGAAAAACACAGCATTCCATTCCAGCTCCCACAATTCATGTCCTTCTTATAATGCAAAAAATACTCATTCCATCCCAATACCTCCAATAGTCTTAACTCATTTCAGCATCAACTTAAAAGTCCAGAGTCTCATCTGAATCAGATAGGGTGAGACTCAAGGCACAATTCACCCCAAGATCAATTCCTCTCCAGCCCTGAGTGTTGAAAGTAACAAGTTATGTGTTTCCAAAATACAATGGTGGGACAGGCACACACACAAAAAAATTCCCGACCAGGTGCGATGGCTCACGCCTGTAATCCCAACACTTAGGGAGGCCAAAGCAGGCGGATCACCTGAGATCAAAAGTTCGAGACCAGCCTGACCAACATGGAGAAACCCCGTCTCTACTAATACAAAAAATTAGCCGGGTGTGGTGGTGCATGCCTGTAATCCCAGCTACTTGAGAGGCTGAGGCAGGAGAATCGCTTGAACCCAGCGGGTCAGAGGCTGCAGTGAGCAGATATCACACCATCGCACTCCAGCCTGGGCAACAAGAGCAAAACTCCGTCTCAGAAAAAAGAAAAGAAAAAAAAATCTATTTCCAAAAGGGAGAAATAGGCAAGAAGAAGCAAGAGGTCCCAAGTTCAAGACCCAACAGGGCAGACAATATTAAATATTAAGCCTCTCTGGAGAATCATCTCCTTTGACTCCATGTCCCAACCCTCTGGGCACAGTGGAACAGGGTTGGCTCCCCAGGGCCTCAAGCAGCCCCACCCGATGGCTTTGCTGGGCTCAGTCCACCCAGCAGCTGTCAGGGGTTGGAGTCTCCTGCCCACAGCTCTCCCAGGCTGATGCTGCAAGCTGGCAGCTCCACAGTTTAAGGCTCCCAGGCCACTCCCATGACTCTACTAGGCAATGCCCTGGTGGGGGCTTCTCTGCAGCAGGTTCAACTCCAAATTTCTGCTTGCCATTGCCCGAGTACAGGCTCTCTGCAGTGGCTCTGCTCCTGTGACAAGTCTCTGCCTGGGCCCCCAGGCTGTCCATGACATCTCTTGAAATCTAGGTGGAGGCTGCCCCACAGCTCTAGCATTCTTCTTGCCTGAAAAATCAGCACCACATGGATGCCACCAAGGTTTATGACTTGTACCTTCTGGAGCCGCAGCTCAAGCCACCACTGGGCCCACTCAAGCAGCAGCTGAGGTGACTAAGGAGCAATGCACAGGATGTGGGGAGCAGAGGTCCGAGGCGGCTCTGGGCAGCAAGCCTGTGGAGGGCCCCCAGTGCTCATCTACCAAAACCCTTCTGCCCTCCTAGAGGGCAAATGTGATGGGCCTGTGATGGGGGAACAGCCTTAAAGATATCTGAAATAGCCTCGCCAACACAGCAAGACCCCATCTCTACAAATAAAAATTAAAAGTTAGCTGGGTGTGGGGGCGCGTGTCTGTAGTACCAGCTACTTGGGAGGCTGAGGTAGGAGGATAACTTGAGTCCAAAAGTTCAAGGCTGCAGTGAGCTATTACTGTTCTACTGCACTCCAGCCTGGGTGACAGAGCAAGACCCTGTCTCTAAAAAAACAAACAATTCTGAAAAGCCTTTCAGATGGCTGAAAGAGCTGAGTGTTTTAAATTATTTCCTTCTGGTTTCTCTTTTTAAATGAAATAACGGTGCCAAATACAAAGTATTTCCTCTTGAGTTTGGACTCTGAAGCCAGATTGCCTGGGTTCAAATCCTGGTTCTACCACTTTTTAGTCCAGTAATCTTGGGGATAAATTACTTAAACCTCTTTGTGTCTCAGTTTCCTCATTTGTAAAATGGGGATAACAGTACCTAGGGGTAAGACAGGTGTAGGGCTAACAGGAATTTATGAGTAAACGGAAGTGTTAGGAGAGTGCACAGTAAGAGCCATGAGAGTCTGCAGTGATTACCACCATATGTGATATATTCTTTTACACTGGAGACATTTATGGAGCACCTACCTGTCAGGAAGACACTGGAATACATCAGTAAACAAAACTAAACCCCAGATTTGATGGAGCTTGCATTCTAGTCCAGGGAGACAAACACTAAATCTAACAAATACCTAACATTGTTAGAAGGTGCTAACTGCTACACGTAAAGGGTCTGAGGCAAGCCAGAAGTGAGGAGACGGATGCGGATAGATGGGGCTCGCTGAGAAGGTGAGGCCGAGACTGAGAAAGGTAAGAGCATAAGCCTCAAAGACTTCTGGGAAAGGGGCACACCAGAACCAATTGAGGCAGAGAGCCCTGCGGTAAGGTGATGCTGGAATGGTCAAGGGTCAAGAGCCCACTGGGGCTGGAGCAGCGTGCCAGAGGAGAGCCAGTGGGCAGCAGAGTCAGAGAGGACAGGTGCCAGACTACGAAGGCTAGGGACCTGCCAGAACTCAGGCTAACTGTGATGTTGAGCACAGGAGTGGCAGGTTCTGACTTGGCCTTCTCGAAGGGATCCTCTGGCCACTGTGTTAGAAAGGAAGGGTGGGTTGGGGACACCAGTGAGGAGTGACTGCAGCTGTCCAGGTGAGAAGCACTGGCTCCATGAGATGAGAAGTCCAAACAAAAAATGAAGCAGCCTGACCATCTCAGAAACTCTGACACCCCTGCGTGACTCATGTATCTCATCTACACAAGTTCCCTGATTTGAAGATACACGTTTCTCCTACTTTCACAATTTCTATAATTGTGACATGTCTTCGAATTGCTGCCAAAACTGAAAATTGCTGTTTCAGGATCTGGCAGTGGATTACCTACGTGTGTTTATTTTGCAGAAATACACTGAGTTGTACTTTTACGATCTGTGCACATAGCTGTATGTGTTGTATTTCCACACACATGTAAGGACACCGGGGCCTAGGAAGGCAGCCAGTTGCCAGGCAGCGGACTCCGACACATCTGTCGCTTCCTCCCAGTGATGTGACTATTCTCTCAGTACAACTGTTTGCATGGTACTGCCACACAAAGTTGATTTATAAATCTACTATTGAACAAAATGCCTTAATAGCAATTAAACTGAATCCTAAAATGAAAAAGAGTTTGCAAAAAAACTATTTGTCATATTCTAAATGATGCAAATACTAAGCAATAAAATTACTAATTTTTTTAAAGAAATTACAAAATGTTCTAAGTTGAGAGATGTTTTTACTGATCCCAGTGCCTTGAAAGACTACTATTACATCTGTCACACTTCCACAACAAGAGAAGTTTTAGCAGCATGTAAATCATTTACACAAGGATACAACTAAGAATAGTAAGCCAAACAGAGAATGAAGAAATCCCTCTATTTTTAAATATGCCTTGGAGCTGAAAAGATCACGGGTATGTGTTATAGAAGGCATTCCTTCTGTCAGTGGCCAAAATGCTACAATCAAAATGTTACAATACTATGTCATCAAAAAGAAATATCCTACATTAAAAAGGATCTACTCCGTCTCAGCACGAATACATTCTAAGAGGAAAAGAGGGCATCTGGTCAGAGTATCCCCCATCCTGGGGCAAGTTCTCCGAAGTACCAGGAGACCAAGAACCGTGCATACACTCTGGGGGTAAATGGATTGTTTTGTCACTAAATCATGCTGAGGTAAAGGCAGCTTTACACTTCCTGACATAGTAACAAACATATTTCTAAGACAGGAAACTGTATCAACATCCTTAAGGAAAGTTCTTAGGTCTTTTGTTTTTATTTTTTTAGAGACAGGGTCTCCCTCTGTCACCCAGGCTGGAGTGCAGTGGTGCAATCACAGCTCACTGCAGCCTCGACCTGCTGGGCTCAAGCAATCCTCCCCCATCAGCCACCTGAGTAGCTGAGACAGCAGGCACACACCACCATGCCTGTTCTTTTTTGCTTTGTAGATATGGGGTCTTGAACTGGGCTCAAGAAATCCTCCCGCCTTGGCCTCCCAAAGTGCTGGGATTTATAGGTGTGAGCCACTACATCCGGCCAAGTCTTTTCTTTTCTTTTTTTTGAGACAGAGTTTCGCTCTTGTTGCCCAGGCTGGAGTGCAATGGCACTATCTCGGCTCAATGCAACCTCCGCCTCCCGGGTTCAAGCGATTCTCCTGTCTCAGCCTCCTGAGTAGCTGGGATTACAGGCGTGCACCACCACACCCAGCTAATTTTTGTATTTTTAGTAGAGACGGGGTTTCATCATATTGGTCAGGCTGGTCTCGAACTCCTGACCTCAGGTGATCCGCCCGCCTCAGCCTCCCAAAGTGCTGGGATTACAGACATGAGCCACCGCACCTGGCCCAAGTCTGTTCTTAAAACAGACTGACAAGGTGGTAACAACCTGCCAAAAGGTCTAACCTGCAAGATTAACATACCAAGAGCAGCCACGTGTCACTTGCGTACAAATACAGGAGTTGGATATTTTCATAGAAATTCAAGCTTTCTGATTGCTAAGCCTACTCTTATTCAAAATATAGGCCTGCAATAATTAATCTGAATTGCTAATTAATAGTTATTCATTCAGAAGCTGTGTCATCAAAAGGCAAAGGTGGTTTTTTGAAAACTGATAAAGGAAGGGACTAAAGTTTTTTGGTATTACCATCTGTAAAGGAGTTTAAAAAAAAAAATTCTGGGCCGGGTGCAGTGGCTCAAGCCTGTAATCCCAACACCTTGGGAGGCCAAGGCGGGCAGATCACTTGAGGCCAGAGTTCGAGACCAGCTTGGGCAACATGGCGAAACCCCATCTCTACGAAAAATACAAAAATTAGCCAAGCATGGTGGTGCATGCCTGTAATTCCAGCTACTCAGAAGGCTGAGGCACAAGAATAGCTTGAACCCGGGAGGCAGAGGCTGCAGTGAGCAGAGATCGCACTACTGCACTATAGCCAGCCTGAGTAACAGAGTGAGGCTGACTCAAAAAAAAAAAAATCATTCTGATATAGATGTTTTGCTGAATTGTACATAGAGTTTAGTATGAGGATGAGTTAGATTTCCAATTTCAGATTTCCAGTTTCACACTATGATTAGAAAAGACTTGCTGTGACTTTGCATCTTTCTTCTGAGGAGGTAATTTAACATAAACACTTCTACCTAATATTACCTGTCCCTTAAACATCATCATTCACTCACATTCCTCTCTCAAACCTGCTGTTGATTTATGATAAAACACAAGAGGATCATTTCAACAGAAAATGGTTTCCAGGCTGATGTAGTGTCTCCAAGGGAAAAGCAGGTACTTGGCTGGTCGCACACAGGAGTAAGAACTGGAGTCCCTGAGTGGGCTTCAGGAGGGGCAAAAAGCCGCTGAGAATGATGTTTGCTATAGATGAAGTTTGTGGCGCTAACAGGGAAGGTAAAGAACCTTTAACCAAACGACACTGTTGCTGAATACCAGTGGTCAGATATTTTTTCTTCCTCAAGAAGGAGAACCCATCGCTGTGGCCCACTGCCAGTGGTCACTCTTCATCATAAACACCCTCAAAACCCTTTCAATCCCCTCTCGCCTTCTATCACCTTACCTTCAAAGCCAAGATCTTAGGAGGAATGTCACCGTCTAAGTTGTGTCTACCACTCCTGTCTCTCACCCACTGCAATCTGGCTTTTGCTCCTATCAGTCCTGGGAAATACTCTTGCTAAGGTCACAACTGACCCCTCGCTTTGTTACCTTACTACACTTCACTTGAGTCAGCCTCCCTGCCTCTATCTCCACCCCACACTGTCCTCTGGTTTTCCTCCCATCCCTCTGACCACTCCGCGTCCTAGATTCCTTCCTGTTTCTGATATATTGAGGGAATCGAGAGTTTCATCACTGTCCCTGCCTGGAACTCAGGTAAACTTAATGCAAAGTACTGTAATCATAACTATTGGTACGATATACTTCAAAATCAGTAGATCCTTATGACCTCAAGGTGAGAACATTCAAAATGACCTTGCTTGACTAGGGGCAAGATAAAGAGTGCTTCTTCTAGACTCACCTACGTCTCAGTGCCTCCCACCTCCAGGTGTACGCTCATCTTGTACCTAAGGCTCACACACAATGTGATCATGCAATCTTGCATGCTGTGTTAGGGCTCCTCGAAGACGTGTATCTCACGCTCATCTGAACAACCTCTCCATAGAAAATGTCTTAGCCATCATGATCACTTGCACTCAGTTTTGATGAATGGATGGATACTCAAATTTTATGCAGGCAGTACTAGCTGCTTGCCTACCAGACACAATGCATTGAGCTGGCCACAGAAGGGAACAGAATGTGGAGACACAGAGCATGTTTGTGCCTGCCCAAGGATGCTCCCATCCTTAGAGACAGGGCCTAACTATAAGTGGGCCTGGGGGTGGGCTGGGGGTTTAATGGGGTAATGTAAAAGTTCTAAGACTACATTATGGTGATGATTACACAACTCAGTAAATCTACTAAAAATAATTCAATTGCATACTTTAAATGGGTGAGTTTTACAGAATGTAAATTATACTTTAATAAAGTTTTTTTTTTTAATGAACAGAACACAGTACCAGAAGTTTACAGTTTAGTGGAGAAAACATGTACACAAATTTGAGTAATTCTGACAATCATGTCACTCATTATAATATATTGTTCTCATACTAAATAGGGAAACCATTTTTTTTTTTTTCTGAGACAGAGTTTCACTCTGCTGCCTAGGCTGGAGTGTGGTGGCACAATCTCGGCTCACTACAAGCTCTGCCTCCCAGGTTAACGCCATTCTCCTGCCTCAGCCTCCCGAGTAGCTGGGACTACAGGCGTGTGCCACCACACCTGGCTAATTTTTTGTATTTTTAGTAGGGACGGGGTTTCACCGTGTTAGCCAGGATGGTCTCGATCTCAGGGAAACCATATTCTTACAGTCTAATAGAGATCACTTTTTTGTGTTCTTTGGCTAACCCTGTAAATAGTTACTAGCTCAGTAAGCTTTTTGGAGAGGGCAGGAAGCTGTCTAATAAATACAACTAAATAGTACCAGTGGATAAATGCAAATCTGCTCCTGAATTATTCATGTATTTCTTTGGGTATCTCTATTGCACGTCTCCTCCTACTCAACTCTGACAGAATGGCTAAACTGTAAATAGCCTGGTTCCTCAACCCTGACTGCTAAATGTATTCACTTGCCCATCATAACAACTGGCTGAGCACTGCCACCTAATCACTAAACCAATGCAAACTCCTGGTCAACTATGAAGCATGTAACTCTCCACACCTTTAGGTGCACTATGAACAATGCTAATTAGAAAACATTCATAGCAATGCCTACAATAGGTTTCTAAAGATGTCTGAATATTATGTTGGACTGAAAGTCAACCACGGAGAGAACAGGAACTTGTTGAAGCAAACAAACTCCCTTAAAGATTTATACTCAAGGGATATCTACTTTATGTCTTATATAATTTTCTTCTTAGACTACCAAGCGTCTTATATTTGGATATTTTTAAAAAATCAATGTGCACCGGGCACGGTGGCTCATGCCTGTAATCCCAGCACTTTGGGAGGCCGAGGCAGGCAGATCACCTGAGGTCACAAGTTCAAGACCAGCCTGACCGACATGGTGAAACCATGTCTCTACTGAAAACACAAAATTATCCAGGTGTGATGGCGCATGCCTGTAATCCCAGCTACTCGGGAGGCTGAGGCAGGAGAATCCCTTGAACCCAGGAGGCGGAGGTTGCGGTGACCAAGATCGCACCATTGCACACCAGCCTGGGCAACAAGAGGGAAACTCTGTTTCAAAAAAATAATAATAAAAAAATAAATTAAAAATCAATGTAAAACAGAATACATAAAAATTTTACATAAATAATATATTTATAAAATATAATAATTTAGAAGGTGTCTTTTGTTTTTTTAAAATTCTTCTTTGTTACAAGCTGGCCAGGCATGGTGGCTCACGCCTGTAATCCTAGCCCTTTGGGAGGCCAAGGCGGGAGGATCACTTTGAGTTCAGAAGCTCGAGACTAGCCTGGGCAACACAGTGAGACCTCGTCTCTATTTGAAAAAAAAAACAATTGGATTAACAATCCAACTCCTCAATTCCTACGTGAACTGCTTATAATGGGGGGGGAATAGATGAGATTTATGGTAATTTTTATTTTTTACATAAAATATTTTTACTTTTTAAATTTTATGCAATTTATAAGATCCTTTGATCAAACTGAATTTCCAGTAGTAGCTCTCTGAAGCACTTTATATATGCATATGCAAATGATGAAAGGTAGGATTTAAAAACCAATGAATTCTACTTCCTTATTCTTTCATTAATCACAGCTAAAATGTGAAACAAATTTTCTGAGTAAAAGCTTACTATTCAATTTGTGTGGTTTAAGGAACACAAGCTACCAAAATGTAAAGCTACTCATCCGCATATAACAGATTATCAATGATACAATAAAAATTTTGTAATATTTGAAAATAAATTAATCTAAATGGTATGCTGCTGTTGGCAGAACTGCACACAAAACAGACACGCACAGAAGCTAGAAAGGACATACAGTATTGACAGTTACCATACCCAGGGGTTGTGGTGATGAATGGATCCCCTACCACAACTTTTTGAGAAATATCTACATTTTCTAATTTTTGTTACAATAAACATTTTTCTTAAGGAAGTATCTCTGAGCCTTGACTGTGATTAAAAAATCTGTGATTAATCTCAAAATTGAATTACCTGACTCAAAGGTGGGATGGAACTTGTCTGAGAAGTGGTTTGAGATATAGGACCATTCATCTGTAAAATTGAAAACAAAGACAACATCAGTACAATGTTTAAAAAGAAACAACATATTTTCAAACCACAGTAATTAGGCAAAACTAAACCCACCAAGAAATGCACATTTCACATGACAAATTCATGAATTCATAAGATATTCAGAATGTAGGAGGCTTAAAATTTTTAAATTCTGAATGAACATCATAGATAAAGTTCTTTGTAGATTCAATGGGGAAAACTAAGAAAAGCTACTTTGCTCAAAGCCACTTTGGAACTTTAAATATTACTGCTTGACATAAAATGTTTAAATGAACAAAAGTAGTCAAAAAAATGTATATTAAAATCCTAACTCTTTAAATACATCCTACTATAGTGACTATAATGTTATTAAACTATTTACAAATCACTACATATCCTTGATTTAAAAAATAAATGGATTTGAGTATCTAGAGCTATAACAATTTTGTTTTTGTTATCATCTACTACTTATAGTTTCCTCTACTAAGCTACCTCTACATTTTTCAGACTGATGGGGCTCAGGACTTTCTCCCCAAAAAATATGGCACATTGACATTTGAGGAAACAGCAGAATCAGGCCATGGAAACTAGAAAGAATTCTCCTTGCCCCTTCTCCCTTGAAGCAGGCCATAAAACACAGCTGACATTCCCCTGAAGACCCTTCCAGAGGGGCCCTGCTCTGTACCAGGAGCAGTAACACACAGGGATGTCAAGAAAAACCTGAACACAACAGCCTTGCTAAGCTTCTCCAGTTTATTAGCTCTAGGTCACATCCCTTTTGTCCAATCATGCTTCTCCACAACTGTCAACATCTGCATTAGACTTCGCAAAAAAAAAATACAGTTTTCCCTGTTTCTTTGGTTCTTCCTTTGTGGAGGCTCCCATGTCACATACAACTTATTACTAAATAAATGTGTATGCTTTTCTCTTGTTCATCTGTCTTTTGTTGCAGGGGTCTCAGCCATGATCCTCAGATGGGTAAGAAATCTTTTCTCCCCTACGAGACTCTAATATCTGTATGCAGATCCTAAGATGTGCCAGTGTTCCTGTTTAGAACTCCTTACTAACTCCAATATAGAGTCCTTTATCAAAAAAAGCAATGGACTCCCCACCACCCCATTCGACAGCACCCACCAGATGAGCGCTGTCCTTGCCCTCCTGGACTCTCTGCGTCTGCGGTTCAGCCACAACCTTAGCGTCCTGATCAGAAGTCATGGGCTCCACTGGGAGAAGTGTAATGCTAACCTCAGGATGCTGTAAAATGGCAAAGACATTAAACAGGTCATTTGAAGGGCACAGTATGATTATTTAAATAAAATTAAAATCCTCAAGTTTTCCAGGACACACGTTTATCCCTCTGAATTCAAAAAAGTTTAAAGAAGTCTTCCCATATGCATACCTTACTCACCAAGAAGTGATACTTAATTTTTTAAATAAGTAAGTTTCTTCTTCACACCATTTTGGTGAAGATGGCCACACTCTAAAACTTGGAAACTCATGTGCTGACACAAATAAACCCATTTGTGCCTGGAAACTCAAGTCTTTTAAAAAACAGAAAATTGAAGGCTTAATATCCAAGATATATAAGGAACTCACACCACTCGATAGCAAAATAAATAAATAAATAAATAACCTGGTTAAAAAATGATCAAAGGCATGAACAGGCATTTTTCCCAAGACAACAGAAAAATGGCAATAGAAATACGAAAAGGTGCTCGGCATCACTAATTATTGGGGAAATGCAGAACAAAACCACAATGATATTTCACCTCACAACTGTCAGAATGACTATTATCAGTCAGACAAGAGATAACAGGGCGTGGAAGAAACAGAACCTTTGCACACTGTTGGTGGGAATGTAAATTGGTGCGGCCATTATGAAAACAGTATGGAAGTTGCTCAAAAATTTGAAAATAGAACTACCATATTATCCTTTCTGAGTATTTATCCAAAGGCAATGAAATCACCACCTCATAAGAATATCTGCACTCCCATGTGGATTGCAGCATTATTCACAATAGTCAAGACATAGAAACCACATAGTTGTCCATCAATGGACAAACGGATATAGAAATTGGGATGTGTGTATCTGTCTGTCTATGCTATGGAATTATGTATTATTCAGCCTTTAAAAAGAAGGAAACCCCGTCGTATGCTATAACATGGGTGAACCTGAAGGATATTATGCCAAGTGAAACACACCAGCACAAAAACACAAATACTGCATGATCTCACTCATATGTGAAAGTTACTATCTTAAAAAGTCAAATACATAGAAACAGAGAATAAAATGGTGACTACCGCCGGGCACAGTGGCTCAAGCCTATAATCCCAGCAGTTTGGGAGGCCAAAGCAGGCAGATCACCTGAGGTCAGGAGTTCGAGACCTGTCTGACCAACATGGAGAAATCCAGTCTCTACTAAAAATACAAAATTAGCTGGGTGTGGTGGTGCATGCCTGTAATCCCAGCTACTATAGGCTGAGGCACAAGAATCGCTTGAACCCGGGAAGCAGGGGTTGCAGTGAGCTGAGATAGTGCCATTGCACTCCAGACTGGGCAACAAGAGTGAAACTCCACCTCACTCACACACACACACACACACAAAATGGTGACTACCAGGGGGCTAGCAGGTAGGGAGGAAATGAAGAGATCAATGTCAAAGGGTACCAAGTTACAGATATTTTGGATGAGTAAGTCTAGAGATCTGATGTACAACATGAGGCCTATAGTTGTAATATTGTATTGTACACTCGAAACTTGCTGAGAGTATATTTTAGGTGCTCTTACTAACACAAAAGAAGGGTAAAACTATATGAAATGATGGCTATATTAATGGGCTGGACTCCAGTAACCATTTCACTATGTATATCAAAACATCATGCTATATACCTTATGTATACACAATTAAAAAAAAAAAAAAGGTCAGATGTGGTGGCTCATACCTATAAATCCCAGCACTTTGGGAGGCCGAGGCGGATGGATCACCTGAGGTAAGGCGTTCGAGACCAGCCTGGCCAACATGGTGAAACCTCATCTCTCTAAAAAATTTAAAAACTAGCCAGGAACGGTGGCGGGCACCTGTAGTCCCAGCTACTTGGGAGGCTGAGGCAGGAGAATCACTTCAACCTGGGAGGCAGAGGTTGCAGTGAGCCAAGATCATGCCACTGCACTACAGCCTGGGCAACAGAGTGAGACTCCATCAAAACAATAAAAAATACAAAATAACAGAAAACTGGCAGGGTGCAGTGGCTCACACCTATAATTCCAGCACTCTGGGAGGCCGAGGAGGGCAGATCACTTGAGGCCAGGAGTTCGAGACCAGCCTGGCCAACACTGTGAAACCCCAATCTACTAAAAATACAAAAATTAGCCAGGCATGGTGGCACATGCCTGTATAATCCCAGCTACTCAGGAGGCTGAGACACTAGAATCGCGTGAACCAGGAGGTGGAGGTTGCAGTTAGCTGAGATCTCGCCACTGCACTCCCACCTCGGCGACAGAGCAAAACTCTGTCTTAAAAACAAATAACAGGCCAGGTGCAGTGGCTCACGCCTGTAATACCAGCACTTTGGGAGGCCAAGGCAGGTGGATCACCTGAGGCCAGGAGTTCGAGACCAGCCTGGCCAACATGGCGAAACCCCATCTCTACTGAAAATACAAAAATGAGCTGGGCCTGGTGGCACATGCCTGGAGTCCCAGCTATTCAGGAGGCTGAGACACTAGAATTGTTTGAACTTGAGAGAGACAGAGGTTGCAGTGAGCTGAGATCACACCACGGCACTCCAGCCTGGGTGACAGAGCAAGACTGTCTCAAAAACAAACAAACAAACAAAAAAAAAAAAACACACACACACACACAAACAAAAACCCAGAAAATTACAAAGTTAATAGGACTCCAGAAATAAAAACAGTTGTTGATGAATGCTAAATTCAGATATATTTAAGTGTCCTCACTTAACATCATCAACAGGTTCTTGGAAACTGACTTCAAGCGAAAGGACGTGAAGCAAAATCAATTGTACCACAGGCACAAACAAGTGTTAAGCTCCTACAGCATATTTCCAGTCACAAAAATATCACCAAACTTCTAATTAAAGACCCAAAACTCCTTCTAATATTTAAAATGGCAATAAATATGAGCCACACACATTTTTAAAAGATTAACAAGAAAGACAATTACGTACCTAATTTTGGGTGAGTCAGAAAGTGACAGTGGTCATAGTGGTGGTATAACCACCACTGGATTTAACCAATCAAGGAATAAATGTTTGCAAAGTGAAAACTGTAAGAATATTACGGCAGGGCGCAGTGGCTCGCGCCTATAATCCCGCACTTTGGGAGGCTAAGGCAAGCAGAATGCTTGAGCCCAAGAGTTGGAGACCAGCATGGACAACATGGCGACACTCATCTCTACACAAAATACAAAAATTAGCCGGGTGTGGTGGCACGTGCCTGTAGTCCCAGCTCCTTCGGAGGCTGGGATAGGAGGACCACCTGAGCCCAGGAGGTGGAGGTTTCAGTAAGCCGAGATCGCACCACTGCACTCCATCCTAGGGAACAGAATAAGATCCTGTCTCAAAAAATAAAAACAAAAATAAAAAAAGAATATTCCTACCACCAAGTAGTTAAAAAACAAACTATGATAACCAATAGGGCAGGCTCACTGAGCACTATTTGTTGTGCATTTATATTATTATAGTAGACTTTATGAATTTTTGTTTCACAACAATTTATATTGATTCATTCATTTCTCAACCTGCTTATTCCAGTTCAGGGTAACAGGTGGCCACAGCCTATCCCAGCAGCTCAAGGAGCAAGGTGGGAACCATCCCCGAGAGGACACCATCCCATCACAGGGCCGCTCACACACACACCCACACTCACTCACTCAGACTGGGACCAGGAAGACATGCAAATCCACCGAACATGCACACCTTTGGGATGTGGGAAGAAACTGGAATACCCGTAAGAAAACACGCAGACATGGAGAGAACGTGCCAACTCCACACAGACAGTGGTCCTGGCCAGGAACTGACTTCTTTCTCATCATGTTGAAATGACATTGAAAGAAATGATGTTTTTCAAAGTGGTTCTTCATGAAGCATTTACTCAATCCAATGTCTAGACACTAAACTTCACATGTAACATCTCACTCAATTTTCCCAAACAACGTAAGAAGTAACTGGCTCACCAACACTTTGGGAGGCTGAGGCGGGCGGATCACCTGAGGTCAGGAGTTCAAGACCAGACCGGCCAAAGTGGTGAAACCCCATCTCTACTAAAAATTAGCCAGGTGTGGTGGCGGGTGCCTGTAATCCCAGCTACTCAGGAGGCTGAGGCAGGAGAATCACTTGAACCCATGAGGCAGAGGTTGCAGTGAGCCGAGATCGCCCCTAAACATACTCTAGCCTAAGCGACAGAGTGAAACTCTCTCAAAAGGATCAGAAGGGATAACTGTAACAATCCCGTATCCTGAGGATTCCTAGACATCCAGGTCTGACTTCAAGGCATTTCTTTTTACTGCAAGCTACACTGCTTCCCAAACAAGATAAATATTGTTATTTAACCCAGGTATCTTTTTAGGTACATCTGAAAACATACATCAGACTGTCAGAAAAAATACCTTTAAAAGTGTAACTATTTTTGTCTTACTAGGTAGCCATACAGGTTTTTCATGGTATAGTGGAGCTCCCTATTCGCAATAATCTGCTTGTGATAAATTCTCAAAAACCTTGTTAATGAAATAATCTGATGATCAAAGGCAATCTCATCCAATTGTGTAAACTGTATCATCAATCACAAAAACATCTAAATGCTATCAAAAAGAGCTGGAAATAAATGTAAGCTAGCAGAGAAAAAATGCTTGAAATAAATACGGGATGTATGACAAATGTTACACTTTAACAGATATATTTCATTTTAATGTATATGTATCTTCTTTTTATGTCTGTGTAGTACCAACGTCTTCTTATTAAACAAAGAAAAGAGTGAATCAATTTAAATAAATATATTAAGTACTAGTATAAATGCTATCGGGACTCAAAAAGATCTTGAAAACAGAATGTGAGTAACTAACTTGTAGAAGACACAGATTTCGGGAACATCTGGACTGAGATTCTAGGTCCTTGGTTCTCAGGCCTCGGATGCAATGAAGAATCCCTGGAGCAAATTGTGATTTTGCAATTTTGTAGTTTGGACTTTTTTATTATTATTATTATTATTTTTAACTATGTAGATGATTCTGAAAAACCTGAGCAAATACTTCCAGGTGATGTTGAAGTAACACACGAGGGGAGTAGCTCCCACTCCCTGAGGGGGTTTTCTACGAGAGAACAGATGGATTCCATTGTAAAAGAAACCTACATGTCATTAAACATCAATTCCCACACAACCACGAAATCCAGAAACTAAAGACATATTAATAGTTTAGCAATCAAATGGGCAAGTCATAGAAGGCGCTGTGGATGCTTTTGCCAACATTAATTTCCAGATTTTTAAGATTCTTATGATAGCCAAAGGGAAAAATAAAAATCAACTAAAATAACACTTTATTTAATACCTGTATTTTTTTAGACAATTGGAATTTATATACCTCCTGACGGAAATACCAACAATACCATATATGAAGTGGTCTTGCAAAAAAAAAAAAGATAACAAAAACCAACATGTGATCATGACCCTAAATCTTATTACGAACTAACCGCAAATACAAGAGCCAGGGGACCACCAAGGGATTCCACACAGTGGAAAGTTTCGGAACTGGCTTCTTCAACACAAAAGGAGACGTAAGACACACGCTGGTCAGTCAGACTATGGCTTTACTTGGATAAAGGAAACAAACCAACTACTAAAAAAGAAAAACGATAATCAGAGAAACAACAGTAAAAGGACAACTGATAATACTAAAAAATGATTCTAGTTTCTCAGATGTGATAACGATGTGGTTATGTTTAATAAAAAGGAAACCCTATCTTTTAGAGATGTATATTGAAATATTTACAGGGAAAATAATACAATGTGTGAAATCTTCCTCAAAGTACTATGTGGGGCAGAGACCCTGAGGTTCATCGTTATTCTTCCACCTGAGAGAAGGAAGTTCACTATACTATTCTGTCTACCTTTGTACATTTGAAATTTTCTATAATAAAAGGTTAAAAAAGTAACCATGCCACAGTCTCAGCACAACACAGTGATCCCGATTTGAACACTCTGCATCCTACCTATTAAAAAAAGTAACCTTTACACCAATATATCTCTTAATTACTAATCTGACAGTTTTTCAAAAAAGGCTTATAAAGTTTTCCAACAGAAGGGATTACTGATAGTCACCTCATTTAAACAGTTAATAACGTATCATTTTAATGCTTTTTTAACTTACCTAATGTGTGAATCTAAAATGAGATTTAAAGAATGATACAAGTATTGACAGCTGTTTCAATAAATAACAAATATTTTGTTACTGGTTCAAGAGACCTAAAATATTTTGAGATTTAAAATATATCAACTATTGCCTCCCGGCATGGCCTAAAAGCAGATCTCTAGATTGTAAAGGGAAATATTCAATGGGAGAAAAGAATCCTCCAGCCAAAGCAAAGTACTTCCACACAGCCGACCAAGGAGTTGAAGGCGGGCTCCGCACTCGCCAGTGCCTTACACCACTCGCAGGCCTTACTGAATTGGACAGGAGGATTTTATTTAATGTCTCTTTATGTAAAAAGCAGAGAGGATAAGTCCAAGTGTTCTCCCTTCCTATCTGTGGCCTCTATGCTAGTAACACATTTTTAACCTCATCTGTCAAAGCTACAGTCTAAAAAAGAAGTTTTATCAACCTTGTTCAACACTTGGGAGACCATAACTCTCTTAAATCAGTTTCTAAAAATTTCTTTTCATGTACACCAGAAATGTTTATTGCATGATTAAACAGTTATTATGGTCTTTCTAGACACACAAGACAATCTTAAAAATACAACACCATCTCAAATAAACAACTATATGTCAGGTTGGTGACATAATGATTTAGAGAAAAATTATCGTTAATTTTTTTTTTTTTGAGATAGAGTATCGCTCTGTTGCGCAGGCTGGAGTGCAGTGGCGCGATCTCAGCTCACTGCAAGCTCCACCTCCCAGGTTCATGCCATTCTCCTGCCTCAGCCTCCCGAGTAGCTGGGACTACAGGCGCCGGCCACCACACCCAGCTAATTTTTTGTATTGTTAGTAGAGACGGGGTTTCACCGTGTTAGCCAGGATGGTCTCGATCTCCTGACCTTGTGATCCACCCACCTCGGCCTCCCAAAGTGCTGGGATTACAGGCGTGAGCCACCGCGCCCGGCAAAATTATTGTTAATTTAAAGGACAGCTATTTACGCAGAAAACCCTACAAATTCACCAAGAGAAATTTTTTTTTTTTTTTTTTTTTTTTTAAATACAGAGTCTTGCTCTGTCACCCAGGCTGGAGTGCAATGGCACAATCTCAGCTCACTGCAACCTCTGCCTCCCGGGCTCAGGCAATTCTCATGCCTCAGCCTCCTGAATAGCTGGGATTACAGGTGTGCAACACCATACCCTTTTTTTTCTTTTTTTTTTCCCAGTAGAGACGGGATTTTGTCATGTTGGTCAGGCTGGTCTTGAAGTCCTGACCTCATGTGATCCACCCCCCTCGGCCTCCCAAAGTGCTGGGATTACAGGAGTGAGCCACTACTGTGCCTGGCCACACCAAGAAATCTTAAAATGTACTCAGTAGGCTTGTTCTTTGAGGTAAATGTTGGTATTATTATTTTGAAGCTATTTTATTTTACATATTGTATATATACATGCCTACACATATTCACACTGAACAGGATAAAGTTGATAAGAATTTCCTTAATGTTAGGTACACAGATTTTCAACATAAAAGGAGATATGAATACAAAATTAAAGAAGCTAAGTAAACTCCACGTGGTCATTTTTTAAAATTGGAAGTGTAACTTTTTAAACTACAGTACAGGCTTCCTTTGCAATACACCACTATTACCACTGATATCCTTTTCCTATTCTGGGCTCTGATCTTGGACCTCATGCTGTACTTAGCTGTCCTTCCGTTGAGTCTCCTTTAAACTGCAGCAGTTCCTCAGTCTTGCCTTATTCATCTACGCTTTTCCAGAGCACTAGTTAATTACTTTGTAGAATGTTCCTCAATTTGAGATGAGCCTGGGACATCTTACCATGAAGCAGGAAGCCATGAAGACAACTGGTCCCATCAGGAAGACACAGAGGCCACAGCAAACTAAGGGAGGGATTCCCAATAGCCATGCACGGAGCCACATCAGGATCAGGAAGAATGAACGGAAAACAAGTCGGCAGCAATCATGAGAGCTACCACCACCACAGTGCTCGCCTTGGGACTACAGGACACCCACTTATTATTCCCAAGATCACTAAAGGACAACAGTTATTTCAAGCTGCTGTTCCTCGATGAACTGCATTTCTGAATAACCAAAAAGCTGATCAGGGCAAGAACCACAGTCAATGGGGAGTGAATGACAGGATCGGAAAAATCAAAATATCCCAATATCTAATACAATAATAAAGTCAATAATCATTGATGTCTGCTGAAATTATCAAGTGAAGAACGTGATGGGAGGTTTCCAAATGGTTAAGTGAGACATTGACTGAAGCTATTTTTCAGTATTATCATTAAAACTGGGCCTCTAGGCATTTTATTTTTGACATGATCAAAGACTACCATCCACAAAGTAGTCGTGCCAAAAAAAGAGCCTGTATTTAATCATACCTCTAGATCTTACTCCCAATTTAAAGGGAATTCTAGGGAAATACATGTTAAATCACACCAGCACAAAGCCATCATCTAAATCCAAAATGTAGGCAAGAAAGACGACCTCATTTCTATAGCAAATAAAAGATATTTAAAAGGAGAGCTATTTTTATTGCCACAGAATTAAAAAGCCTTAACCAAAATAATCCAATGTGATGTAAGAACTGTGTTTGGATCCTGAGTCAAATAAATTAGGTTTAAAATGACATAGAAAAACTTTTAAGGTTGCCTAGGTAATAAAGACAGAGAAAACTTTTTGACATAGAAAAACTTTTAAGGTTGCCTAGGTAATAAAGACATGATAAAATTACTATTAATTTTATTGAGTTCCAACCATAGTATTGTTATATTTATTTTAAAAGATCTTCTTTATAACAGCTAGAAACTAAAAGACTCATGAATAAAGATATATGTCTGGAATTTGCTTTAGAATATGCCAATTTTTTTGGTAAGTTTAAGGGAAGAGAAGAAACAAAAATATATGAATGGTGGCAAGCTGATGGTAGCTAAAGCTAGATGACTGGTGAACTGAGGATCACTATAGTATCCTCTCTACTTCTATGTGTTTAAAACTGTCCACAATAAGCCAGGCACGGTGGCTCACATCTGTAATCCCAGCACTTTGGGAGGCCAAGGCGGGCGGACTGCCTGAGCTCAGGAGTTTGCGACCAGCCTCGGGCAACACAGTGAAACCCTGTCTCTACTAAAATACAAAAAATTAGCTGCGCATGGCGGCGTGTGCCTGTAGTCCCAGCTACTCGAGAGGCTAAGGCAGGAGAACTGCCTGAATCCGGGAGGCAGAGGTTGCAGTGAGCCAAGATCGCGCCACTCCACTCCAGCCTGGGCAACAGAGTGAGACTCAGTCTCAAAAAATAAAATAAAATAACGTAAAATAAAATAAAATAAAAAATAAATAAAATTGTCCACAATAATAAGTAAAAGAAAACCTAACTTGGATATATTATCAGTACACACTTAAGACTTCATATGCTTATTTCTATTTAAAATTTGTATTAATGAAATAATACTAAATGTGTAAACAAATTTATTAACAATGTTCACAGCAGCTTAGAAAAAAAAAAATCCCATGGAAATAAAAACGCAGAAAGTAGGCTCATGCCTGTAATCCCAACACTTTGGGAGACAAGGTAGGGAGATCACATGAAGTCAGTTCAAGTCCAACCTGCCTAACCAGGCTGGTGAAACCATGTGTCTACTAAAATAAATACAAAAATTCCCAGCTACTCGGGAGGCTGAAGCATGAGAATCACTTGAATCCAGGAGGTGGAGATTGCAGTGAGCTGAAAGCGCACCACTATACTCCAGCCTGGGCAACAGAGCAAGAGTCCATCTCAAAAAAAAAAAAAAAGAAAAGAAAAGTAGAAACGAATGCAGTATGTTACAATTACTTAAAATACTCACAAAAACTGCATAAAGATTTAAAAAAAAGACAAAACTGTAGATACTAAAGTTGCAATATATTTATAAAAATTCAAATTTTATAAGTACGTAAAAACAAGAAACTAGAAGAAAATATGCCAAAAGACTAACAATGTGTGATTAACTTATTGACTTCATCTCCCAGAGTCTCAGTTTTTTAAATAACATATTATTTTTATTACACGTCTTCATAAAACATCCAGCTTGCTGATTCCATCAGTTGCTGAGTCCAAGGTCCCCTGCCATCTTTCCCACAGAAAGGGCACTGCTGCCCACGCAGGAGAAGCTGCCCATGCAGGAGAAGCATCTAAGTCACTTTGCAGTTGTTTTTCAATACAGATTAATCAAGTGCAATTCAGTGAGCAAATTTTCTTGTGAAACTACACTGCTCAGTCCTGTTCACTAAGATAATGGTTCTCAATGTGTGGTGTAGGCATAGTCCAGAGTCCCAGAAACACTTCCAGTGGGGCCACAAAGTCAAACCATTCTCAAAATAATGCAAAGATGTTCTTTGCTTTTTTCACTCTTATTCTCTCCTCACAAAACCACAGTGGAGTTTTGGTATAGCATCAAAGAATATTCAATATTCATTTATATGAAATGACTACCAAAATAATAAAATAAATTACCTGAGGCCAGATTTCCTTCACACACTTCAACCAAAATAACACAGTACTAAGAGATGAAATGCAAAAGCAGACAAGAATCCAGCCAAGATTCTATTAAGTCAGACATTAAAGAGATTTACAAAACATGAAAAAACAATGCCACTCTTCCCACTGAATTATTTTTTGTTTTGGAAAATACTACTACCTTTCATAAACAATGTTATTTATATTACCTAATGGGTTTGTTATTATTAAAAATGTATATTTATAATATTAATTGATTCTTGATACTTAACATAGTAAATACAGACAGAGATAAACCACAGATGGAGACAAACCATATAATAAACTCAAGCTTTTAGGCATCTTCAGTAATGTTTAACAGCATAAAGACGTCCTTAGACCAAAAGCTTGAGAACCACTCCACTAATACAAACCCTTAAAACCCAGTTCTCAAGGACAGATGCCCATGTTCATGGATGGAAAGACATCCATGTTTATGAAGAGGAAGACATCCCATGTTTACAGATGGGAAGACATGGTATTTTTACAATGCCAACAAACCCCAAATTAAGCTACAGATTCAATATAATCCCTATCAAAATTCACTTTTGTGGGAGAATTTTTTTTTTTTTTTTTTTTGGCAGAAATTGCTGAGCTGATCCTAAAATTCCTATGGAAATGCAAGGGACCCAGAATAGCCAAAGCAATCTTGAGAAAGAATAAAATTGAAAGACACACACACTTCCTAATTTCAAATCTTACTACAAAGCTACAGTAATCAAGCCAGCATGGTACTGGCATAGACCAGACAAACAGATCAATACAATAGAAACGAGAGTCCAGAAAGAAACCGTTACATTTATAGACAACTGATTTTCCACAAAGGTGTCAAGACCAGTTGAGGGGAAAAGAACAATCTTGTCAACAAATGGTGCTGGGACAACTAAATGTCAACATGAAAATAATGAAGCTGGGCTCCTACCTCAACATACACAAAAATTAAGGCAAAATGAACCAAAGAACTAAATGTAAAAGCTAAAACTATATGACTTGGAAGAAAACAGCAGTAAATCTTCATAAACTTGTATTAGGCAATGGTTTATTAATTATGACACTAAAAGTATAAACAGGAAGAAAAAAATACACTGGATTTCATCAAAACGAAAAACTTTTGCCCCTCAAAGCACACTATCAAGAAAGTGAAAAGATAACCCAAAGAATGCGAAAAAACATTTGCAAATCATATATCCAATACGGAACATATATCTAGAATATATAAACAATTCCTAAAACTTATAATGAGACAAATAACCCAACTTAAAAATTGGCAAATGAGAGCCCAGCGCAGTGGCTCACATCTGTAATCCCAGCACTTTCCGAGGCCGAAGCAGGCAGATTATTTGAGGTCAGGAGTTCGAGACCAGCCTGGCCAACATGGTGAGACCCTGTCTCTACTTAAAATGCAAAAGTTAGGCAGGCATGGTAGTGGGCGCCTATAATCTCAGTTACTTGGGAGGCTGAGGCAAGAGAATCACTTGAACCTGGGAGGCGGAGGTTGCAGTGAGCCAAGATCACGCCACTGCACTCCAGCCTGGGCGACAAAGCGAGGCTCCATCTCAAAAAAAAAAAAAAAAAAAAAAAAAAATGGCAAATGATCCGAACGAACATTTTCCCAAAGAAGATATACAAATGGCCACCAAGCACATGAAAAGATCGTCCACATCATTCGTCATGAGGGAAATACAAATCAAAACACAAAATACCACTTTGAAATGAAATTAAATAAAATGAAGTAAATACAGAAAATTAAAACAAAAATACTACTTTGCATCCACTTGGATGACTATTATCAGAAAGATAGGTAATATCAAGTGTGGCTAGTACATACAGAAACTACAATCTTCACACACTGCTGGTACAAATGTAAAACAGAGCAGCCATTATAGGAAGCAGTCTGGCAGTTTCTCAATATGTTAAACACCGAGTTACCATATGATCTAGTCATTCTACTCCTAGGGATATATCCCAGATAACTGAAAACATGTATCTGCCTGAAAACCTGTATGTGAATTTTCAAAGCAACATTATTCGTAATAGCCAAGAAGTAGAAACAACCCAAATAATAAACTACTAGGTTAAGACCCTCCCTTTTTTATGTGTGTCTGGCATAACTCATTGGATTTTCAAATAATAGCAAAAATCATAATTTCAGAACTTGATAATTTCTAAGAAAATCAAAATAAAGAGGCATTTCCTAAACAGCAGGTAATTCTTTTCTGGTACGAAAGGGTAATGTGAAAACACAAATTATTTGTCTCTGAATCAGAAACCTGGAAAGAAAAAGAATGAGTTTGGTAAGGATTATTCTAAGTGCTTTCTCCACGTTACCAAATAAACTTAATTCTGTTAATTAGGTTCCATGCCTATTTAGCACAGCAGGAAATTAAGATCAGGGATAATTTAAGGTCACAAAGCTACTAAGTTCAGTGAGGCTATATTAATGCACATATAATTTTGCTATTCAACTATATGTGCCTGGAGATCATTTAACAGGCAATTCACTCTATCAATCCCTGCATGTGGGTGAATGTCACATCGTAACATGACCTCAGAGAAGTGCACCTACAGTTTCCTTAGCTCGTCTTCATTCCTTCTTCCCTTTTACAGTAATATTCACTGCACCAATGTACAGATCATGATTTTAGCATGTAAAGATAAGCATCTTTTTTCTTACAATATGGTACTTAAATATAAGCTAAATATTTCTCTTTTTATACAACAAAAACAGTGATTTGATTCAATGCCAGACTAAAACTGGTATTGGATCAATTGTATCAGTGATAATATTAAATACATTGTACCTTACACGGGGATCTTCAAGTATATTGATGATTTTTGCATTATGGGTTGACCTTAGAACAGACATTTCCCATGAGAGTGTGCTGTATGGGAGCCAAATATAAAACCTCTCTCCTGAATCTAAAAACATTATTCTGAAGTCAGGAACTCCCTACTCACAACAGATTACTCCCTGTTCTATTTGCCATGTTCTGCACATTCTATTGCCTTTTCCTGGAACACAGGTATCCCTGTGTTTTATCTTCTATCTACACACAGTGATACTGAGAACAGGACAGAAATACATATCCCACCAATGATATATTACAACTTACCTTGATCTTCTTCCTTTTGTTAGTAACATTCAAATATATGCAGTTTTACTACAGTGTTGTCTAAGTACTCCATTTCTTTATTTGTAAAGTTTGCTAAGTTACCTTCTAACTCTAATTGTCTATGATTAGGAACAATGAGTTAAGGGATGACGCATGAACAGAGATGGACAGCACAAGATGCTCCTAGACAGACATGTGTTCCAAGAACTCCAACATAATTTTATTTTACAGACCATTTTACAAAAATCAGTAAATGAATATTCAACTAGATAAGTAAACAGAAATTTACCTAAATAAGGAAAAAGGGCTAAGAACTTTAGAGATTGCCTTAATTAAGTACTATATAATCTCCTTGGGAATCAATTAGAAAAAATCAAAATGTGTTACTTTCAATGTCCAAACAAAATTTGTAGAAAACAGTTTACCACCCAGACTTTGATCCCTTTGAAGCTACATAAATTGATCAGAAAAAAAAAAAAATGATCACAGAAGCTAAATCAAATCATCAGAAGCACAATCATGGCCAGGCACAGTGGCTCACGCCTATAATCCCACCACTTTGGGAGGCCGAGGCGGGTGGATCATCTGAGGTCAGGAGTTTGAGACAAGCCTGGCCAACATGATGAAACCCCGTCTCTCCTAAAAAATACAAAACTTAGCCAGGAATGGTGGCATGCGCCTGTAATCTCAGCTACTGGGGAGGCTGAGGCAGGAGAATTGCTTGAACCTGGGAGAAGAAGGTTGCAGTGAGCCAAGATCGCACCATTGCACTCCAGCCTGGCAACAAGAACAAAACTCCATCTCAAAAAATAAAAATAAAAAAATGATAATAATAAAAAGCACAGTCATAGCATTCTAGGATCGGAAAGAAGGATGTCTTTTTTTTTTTTTTTTTTTTTTTTTTTTTTTTTGAGGTAGGGTCTCACTTTTTCACCCATGCTGGAGTGCAGTGGCCCGATCTCAATTCATTGCAGCCTCGACCTTCTGGGTCCAAGTGATCCTCCTGCTTCAGCTCCCCAGGTAGCTGGAACTACAGGAGCATGCCACAAAGCCCAGCTAAAAAAGGATATATTTCCTTTTTTTTTTTTTTTTTGTGAGAAGCAGTCTCACTCTGTTGCCCAGGCTGGAGTGCAGTGGCACAATCTCAGCTCACTGTAACCCCTGCCTCCCGAGTTCAAGCGATTCTCCTGCCTCAGCCTCTCGAGTAGCTGGGACTACAGGTGCACGCCACCACGCTTGGCTAATTTTTGTATGTTTAGAGAGACGATGTTTCACCACACTGGCCAGGCTGGTCTCGAACTCCTGACCTCATGATCTGCCTGCCTCAGCCTCCCAAAGTGCTGGGATTACAGGTGTGAGCCACCAGCGCCTGGCCTCTTTTTTTTTTTTTTTTTGAGACGGAGTCTTGCTCTTTTTGCCCAGGCTGGAGTGCAATGGCACAATCTCGGCTAACTGCAACCTCTGCCTCCTGGGTTCAAGCGATTCTCCTGCTTCAGCCTCATGAGTAGCTGGGATTACAGGCACCTGCCACCACGCCCGGCTAATTTTTTGTATTGTTAGTAGAGACGAGGTTTCACCATGTTGGCCTGGTTTCGAACTCCTGACCTCCTGATCCACCCGCCTCGGCCTCCCAAAGTGCTGGGATTACAGGAGTGAGCCACCGCACCCAGCAGAAGGATATATTTCTTAACAGAAATTTTCATTATGATTCCCACGTGCATATCTAAATAGAGAAGTGCAGAAAATAAAATACAATAGGAATTCTAGTTCCTCATCCATCTGCCTTGTGCTGTTAGTTGGATGATATGGTTTATCTCACGGCTGCCAGCACCACTCTGTAATATTTGAAATGCACATTTTTATCTTACAATAGAATAATGTGAGAGCACCTTAGGGCAGATTATTTTATGTTCCTTCCATGTACCTTATACACATCATATACTCAAGTGAATCTGTAAGCTTGAATAGTGGGAACATTTACAGAGCAACAGACTGCTGCTTCCAACAAAACTGTTATTTTAGTCTTTTGTTTTTTTCAAGATTCAGTATCTCTATGATATTCCATTCTTTTCGTTTCATGTTCTTATAGTAAGTGTGTCACTCAAAGATACTGACGGATAAAAGAAATGCGTCCAATCTCAGTAGAGTAGTTGTTTATACATTTAAACTGGCACTCAGCACTGGAGTATTCCTAAGGAGATGTTGCCAATAAATTTCAAGACTAATTTTGTAAAATGTCCTTTATATGTGTACATCGGTGCTTCTACTGAAAAAAACAGCAGTGAGAAAATGTGAGTTTTATTTATAGTTTGAGTTGGTTCTCCTCCTAAGGAGGACATAATCAGACACAAGATACAAAAACTTATTTGTTAGCAAGATCTGATTGAAAAAGTACCTACATGAGAAGACCACCAAATAATATACTTTCAAAATCTTCCTGATTTTAAATTTAGAACGTGTCTACTAAGTCGACACACAAAAAAAGGACAACGGTCCCCTCCACCGTTAAAGCCTGTGACTGGGTCTACGACATTATCTTCTGGAGAGTACAATCTTTTGAAAAGACCATTTTAGCTAGGATTCTTACTAAAACATAATACAAAACAACCACCGAAACTGGAGTTTAGATCATCTCATTAACCCTCTGGCTAGGAGAGCATTTTACTCATTAAACCTTTGACGAACTCAAAAACCACCACTCTAATACTTGGTTGTAAAGAAGCTGAAATAAAGTATCTGAACCAAATGCACAGAACATTGTTTTGCACAAGCCCTAAGCTGCAGCAGTGCGAATCATGGCCCTCGGAGTACCACTTCTTGCTTTTATCCCGTGCTACACCTTTCCCAGTAAAGAGCTTCTTAGGAAGGGTTTCCACACCTTTTCACACACTTTCACAAAGGGAAAAGCAAATGGAAAAGTTGACAACTACATTAGGAGTATCTTTTTAGGACACAAGCTTAGCTAATTCACACAGCTTCCTTTGTCAAATACTGGACTACCAAGAAGCATCAAAACCAAAATCTGCAGTCTAAGCAGGGCACAGCTGCAGCACGTTCACTTCATTTAACCTCAAGTTGAAGCAGAAACATAAAATCTTTTTTTTTTTTTTTTTTAATTTTGAGATAGAGTCTCACTCTGTTGCCCAGGCTGGAGCGCAATGGTGCCATCTCAGCTCACTGCAACCTCCACATCCCAGGTTCAAGTGATTCTCCTGCCTCAGTCTCCCAAGTACCTAGGATTGCAGGTGTGCACCACCACACTCAGCTAGTTTTTGTATTTTTAGTAGAGACAGGGTTTCACCATATTGGCCAGGCTGGTCTCAACCTGACCTCAAGTGATCCCGCCCACCTCGGCCTCGAAAAGTGCTGGGATTACCGGTGTGAGCCACGGTGCCTGGCATAAAATCTTTTTAATACAGATGTTAAATTACCTGGTTGAAAAGCTAGTTGTCTCTTTTGTCTAGTCTGTTTAGAATATATTCTAACCTCCATTTTTCTGTCCATCAGCATTTTATTCCATTAGAAATTACTTCTCATGTTGAGAATGTCAACCTGGACAAACAAGATTCAACCTAACCTGGCAGGATGTGTGCTGGATGCCCAGGAAGCCTCTCCTGACTTGCAAGCGTCCCCTACTTCCACTCTTCCACATCCTTCAGACCCACCTGCTCACTGCTGCACTCAGGCTCACTTATGCCATCTCTCAGCCATGGACTGATCTCGCAGATGGCAAACAAAGTATACCCAGAGTCCAGAGGAGGAAAAGGCAACTTCCTGTTGATGTTTCACATGCAATCTTACCTTTTGGACAAAGAGCAGAACTGCCTGATTCAATCTTTTATAATTTACTTTTACCTTAAGGAATTGCATATATAAACTTATCTTACTGCACGGCTTTAATTCCATTTTGAATATGTATTTTCTTGAGATTATTGATAGTCTCCATAAAAATCTTTGCTTCCTCTCATTTACATCTGAAAACAAAACAAAACAAAAATGCTGATGGACAAACGTAGTAGCATGGGCATACACCTGAACTGAGGAAAAGCCAGAATTGGCAGCACAGCACACAGGGCCTTCCTCGTCAGGAATGCACCTTGTAGAGTACACCGCTTCACTCTGATGGGTGGAAAAGGTCTCTCTCCACCTCATTTCCAGTGGATCCTGCATTTCTTCAAGGAATACAGATCATGTTCTATTGAGCTTTCCAATTCATCATCACAAAACTACAGTTTTCAATTGAAAATACATAATACTCAAAGAGTAAGATGGGGAAGTGGTGAGTAAACTCATTTTTTAGAATGGCAAAATGTCAGAGCTGGGAAGCAGCTCGGAGCTGCTTTAATCCTGTGCGGCTCAAATGGGAAGGCATATTTGTCCCTAACAATGAGTCAGAGAACCATGAAATGATACATAAATTGATTTTGTTAAAAAAAAACCTTGACACGCAACACTGACAGAATACAAGCTGAGCAGCACTAATCTGAAAATCTGAAATCTGAAATCCTCCAAAATCTAAAACTTTTTGAGCACCAACATGACATCACAAGTGAAAAATTCTGATGTTTCTTCTCACCTACGAAAATTAAACACAATCCAAGCACAATGATGCATACCTGCAGTCCTAGCTACTTAGGAAGCTGAGGCTAAAGGATTACTTGAGCTCAGGAGTTCAAAACCAATATGGGCAGCATAGCGACACTCTGTCCCCTAAAAGATAAATAAAATAGGCCGGGTGCAGTGGCTCACACCTGTAATCCCAGCACTTTGGGAGGCCAAGAAAGGGAGATCACTTGAGCTCAGGAGTTTGAGACCAGCCTGGGCAACACAGTGAAACCCTGTCTCTATAAAAAATACAAAAATTAGTCAAGTGTGGTGACATGTGCCTGTAGTCCCAGGAACTTGGGAGGCTAAATTAAGAGGCTCACTTGAGCCTGGGGGGCGGAGGGTTGGGGGGGCATTAAGCCGAGATCATGCCACTGCACTCCAGCCTGGGCAACAGAGGAAGACTGTCTCAAAATAAAAATAAAAATAAAAATAAAATAAAAATAAATAAATAAAATGAAATAAAATAAAAATACATAAAACACAGTGTACAGTGACCTTTTAATCACAACACAGCATCATAGGTGGACACTGAAAAGTCTGCTGCTGCTGTTATCTGACGGCTGATCCAGGTACTGTGGCGATGTCACTGGGCTGGTTAGTTACCCGAGCACATCATTTCCTCACTGTATTAATGCTATGTCATGTTCTTTACTGCTGAGTACTCCCATGCGAGCAAGGGTAAGAAGATGACTGCCACTTGGTAGCATATAAATCCAGAACCAGGCACGATGGTGGCATTAAGCAACCAGACTGTCCACATGGGTGGCTGGGATGGTGACATCTTTGCTTTCTGATGGTTCAATGTACAGACCTCATTTCACGCTAAATTTATTTAAAACATTGTATAAAAGTACCTTCAGGCTATGTGTATAAGGTGTATACAAAACAATTCTGTGTTTAGACTCGGATCCCATCCCCAAGATACCTCATTATGTATATGCAAATATCCCAAACTCCAAAAATAACTGAAATATAAAACACTTCTGGCCTCAAGCATTTCAAATAAGGGATACTCAATCTATAGTTATAAAAATGTCTTCCTCAAGTTATTAATACAGCCCTGGAGGCACTCCCTAAAGTCTTATTATCTGAACCTGCAAATTACCTTCCTTAATAATTAAATGCCATTTAACAGTGTTATAAGTGGTGATAAAATACACCTTATTTTACACATGCATTAATGTGAAGTCCTCCTTTCTTGAATTTAATATTCCTAATATATACGTATTTCTTAGCATTTCAGTGAAAGGGAAATATTCCATAACAATTATAATCCTATATAGCTCTTGAAAATCACACCTCAGAAGTCAAGACAAGGAATCTAAATAGAGCAGACATAAAACACTTGACCGAAGTCAGGATCCTATCTTCATTAGTCCCTCCATGCCCAGTCTAGATCCCATTTACTCCTGTCTTTGCAATTATGTTTTTTTCCATTATGTTCAATCCTTCCCTGTCACTGTTTCAACAGCTTATTCTGTCGCAAAAAAAAGAAAGTGAACGTGGGGAGGGGAGGAGCTGAGGAGCAAGGGAGGAGCTGAGGAGCAAGGGAGGAGCTGAGGAGCAGGGAAGGAGGGCAGAATCAGCAGGACTGGACGTCCTCCTGGCCTCCTGCTGAAGAGGCAGCTCTCAACTGTTTCTATCTCCAACCTCCCAGAAAACTTTCCTTCTACAAGAACCAGCCTCCTGCTTGCTGGTGGACAGGGAGGACCTCTCACAGCACAGTGGAACAGACCAGCCTTTCCCTTGAAGCCCACTCTACCCTCTTCCACTTCGTCACCTGCTTTCTCAGCCTCTTGGGAATGCTCTTCTGCACTAAGTAGGGCAAAAGCTCTCTTGCCCTGTGCAATCAAAAGAAATAGTAAATCAAATGGGCAATCATAAAGATGAATACATAAATCTTTAGCTATTTTATACATCTTCATTCACACGGGCCTTTTTCTGAGACTTGGTCAATTAGATATTATTTCTTTCCCACATAAACTATATCCATAATGCATCAACAAAGATCTTCATTGTTTTTTAAAGTGCAGCTGAGAGACAGGAAAACCCTCTGAATAGTACAATGCTTCTATGACTCTTCTTCAGTTTTTATCCTTATTTTCATATCTAATTCATCAGCAGTTTCTCTGTGATTTGTTTTTGAGATACTCCAAAGTTTTCAAATGAGTAACTGCTTTTACACTATTTTGATCAATTTATATTAATTAAATCACACAGCTGCACGAATGAGTATGATCGATGAACAAGTTTGGAAGCTGACCTGGCTTTGGTAAGCACACAACTCCACTGGTGGGAAGAGGGAACAGCCCTGCTGAAGAGAAGCCCAGCGCCAGTGTGGTGCAACCCACAGGTATGCATGGATCCACAGACAGCGTTGATCCTGGTGACAGGCCACGGTATGTGTGCAAAGGAGTCTACCTCCTTGTCTCCTTGAGTTATGCTCCTGTGCTCCCAGTTTCTCATGGCTTCTGTTCACAACCATATGCTCAGTTTCAGCACAAAATTATCTAAGTGAATGCCCAGTGAACACCTTATGATCCTGCAGAGTTCTCAAAATCAATTCCCTACTTCTCATTTAAAACAAATACGAACTGATAACCAATCTCTCTTATTGAAGGACATATCATTGACTCAGGTGCCCAAGGCAGAAACTTGCAAATACAGCTTTAACTTCTGCTCAAGTTTCTATCCCTGTCATGAAACTGTGCAGAAAACCACCAACTGAACTGAATTACCACCCAGTTTCTTAAAGCATCTCCCTTCTTCCCACCTCCCCAAACTCCACAGATTCTTCCAGACTGCCCTCCCTAAAGCGAGGGACTCGCAACTGAAACCTTCTGACAGGCTGCACCAGGATAAAGTGAAAAGAACCACAGCTACTGAGATGCTCTCCCCATCCTCCCACAAAGCCTTGGTTGGTTATTCTATGTACTCCTGCAAACCTTTACACCCAGGAATACAGCATATCAAATTATCATCCTCACTCCAACACAAAAGTTTTATCACTCGGAGGTCAGAAATATGTCTACCCTGTTCACTGTTGTATCCCTAACACAGTACCTAAACGAGTAAAATCTCAGTAAATACATTAATAATTTATTATCTTGTGGCAACAAATGTGGGAAAAATTAACTAGCATTTAAAATATGAAGCCCAGAAAATGGGATGAGTCCAAAGAACGGCCTCTGCTGGTGCACATTCCAAGTGGTGTAATAAGGGAAAAGGCAATATTCACAGCTGAGGGCAAAATTACTTTGAGTTAATTTTCATTTTCATTTTATTTTATTCTCTAGACTTTGTATATGCATACATGCATGTCCGTTTAAGTGTGCACCTGGGATCTAAACATACAAAGGAGTTAAATACAAAGTGATGACTAAAAATTTTTATTGTATTATCAAAACAAATCACTAAAGAAGTTCCGAAGTGGCAAACACATACTGAAACAATTATTTGTATTGGGGGATGTGAGATCGTGAAATATATATATTTGGTTTTCCTCCCATTTCATGGCATAGAATTCTTAAAATCCCTGGAATCTCCCAAGTAATAAATGTCTTTTTGTATACTAATGATATGACTGGGCTGGCAGTCCTAAGGTGTTTTCAGGATGGGAACTAGTCACCAGAAAGACCGAGGCAGAATTAGACTGTTGGGACTTTCAGCCCACTCCCAATCTCCAGGTAGGGGAAAGTGGCAGAAGGTTGATCATCAATGGCCAATGATTTCAGCAATCATGCCTATGTAACGGAGTTTCCACAAAAACCCTAGGCTGGGTGCGGTGGCTCACGCCTGTAATCCTAGCACTTTGGGAGGCCGAGGCAGGTGCATCACCTGAGGTTAGGAGTTCAAGACCAGCCTGGCCAACATGGTGAAACCCCATCTCTACTAAAAATACAAAAATTAGCTGGGCCTGGTGGCGGGCACCTGTAATCCCAGCTACTTGGGAGGCTGAGGCAGGAGAAATCACTTGAACACGTGAGGTGGAGGTTGCAGTGAGCCTGAGCCAAGATCATGCCACTGCACTCCAGCCTGGGTGACAGAGCAAGACTCCGACCCAACAACAACAGAAAAAGGACTCGGTTTGGGGAGCTTCCAGATAGCTGAACACATGGAGGTTGTTAAAGAGTGGCAGCCCAAAGAGGGCATGGGAGCCCCTTGCCCTTCCCCCACACCTTGCCCCACACATCTCGTCATCTGCATCCTTTGTAATATCCTTCAAAATAAACCAGGAAACATGTTTTCCTTACTTGTGTGAGTCTGTCAAGCAAAGTAATGGAACCCAAAGAGGGGGCCATGGGGATCCTAGGAAGCATGGGTAAACAACCTGTGGCGTGGGAGTGGCATCAGAAGGGGCAGTCTTGTAGGGATGAGCCCTCATTCTGTGGGACCTGACACTATCTCCAGGTAGAGTGTTGAGACTGAAGGGGAGGGTGCCCCACTGGTGTCTGCTGTAAAACTGATTGGTTGCTGGTGGGGAGAAATCCCCGCACATTTCTTGGTGACCAGCGGTCACAGAATTCTTCTGGGTTGATTGTTGTGACGCGAAAGCAGGAGAAAAACCGCTTTTTCTTCAGGAGGGAAAGGTCAAAAAATCCTTTCCAAAATATACTGAAAGCTATGAAACAGAATTCAGAAGTTCCAGGACTCCTCCAAGTTCATCTACAAACAAGAAAAGGAAACGTCAAGGAGTGCAGGCTGCAGCACGGGGGGGGCCTCCCTTGCCAGGTGGTGAGGGGCCGACCCACCTCTCCTCCTTTGGGGGACACCTGAAACAGATAGCACAATGCCTGGCACACAGCATGTGTTACACACCACAGCCAAACGGCAGGCGTGGGAGCTATGAAATTCCAAGTTGCGGCCAGGCGCGGTGGCTCATGCCTGTAATCCCAGCACTTTGGGAGGCTGAGGCGGGCAGATCACAAGGTCAGGAGATCAAGATCATCCTGGCTAACACGGTGAAACCCCGTCTCTACTAACAATACAAAAAATTAGCCGGGCATGGTGGTGGGCACTTGTAGTCCCAGCTACTCGGGAGGCTGAGGCAGGAGAATGGCGTGAACCCGGGAGGTGGAGCTTGCGGTGAGCCGAGATCGCGCCACTGCAATCCAGCCTGGGCGACAGAGCACGACTCCGTCTCAAAAAAAAAAAAAAAAAAAGGAAATTCCAAGTTGCTCAGAGAGTCAATGTCACTGACTCCAAGCACAGAATCCAACAACAATCTTCAAATATTAGGCATTACACCTGCAGACCAGAATTGTTTCCCAGAAACAATGCAAACTGTTTAATATTAAAATATAGTGAATGTCCCCTAAAATTGTTACTTACAAAAGTACTTTTTACAAAAGAGACCGGGCTCTGTGGCTCATGCCTGTAATCCTGGCACTTTGGGGGGCCAAGGCAGGTGGATCACCTGAGGGCACGAGTTTGAGACCAGCCTGGCCAACATGGTGAAACCTCGTCTCTACTAAAAGTACAAAAATTTGGCAGGCATGGTGGCAGGAGCCTGTAATCCCAGCTACTCGGGAGGCTGAGGCTGGAAAATCACTTCAACCTGGGAAGCGGAGGTTGCAGTGAGCTGAGATCGCGCCACTGCACTCCAGCCTGGGTAACAAGAATAAAACTCCATCTCTAAAAAAAAAAAGAATTTAAGTTCCAAGATTTTTTTTTTAATCTTACTTTGGTTTACTATTCCAAATGACAATTACCTAAGACATAGCAGTACCATCTCCATCCTATAAACAAATTGGATTACAATTACAGGCCAGTTATGGTTATATGCCTACTTCAATAGACAATGTGACTGAGAAAAGAAAAACAGCTTAGTGCAGTTGAGCTATGTGAGGTATGCAGGCCCAGAGAGCCGTGAGTGTGGGACTTCTGTCATGCCTCCCGCCCCAGATCCATGCTGAGCAGAATTGTTTAGTCATTTTGTTCCTGACTGGCTGCCTTACCCTTATCTTCATGTTCCTGAAATCTATGACAACGATGAACAATGTACAGCCAATCAATAGCTTATGTTATTTTGATGTACATTTTTTGTAAACAACTCAGGAACTGCCTTTTTTCCCTTTAAAAATCTACTTCCAACTTCTGCTAATGGGGTGTATACTCAGAGCAACCTGAATCCATACACCTGGGCTGCAATCCTCAGGCTTGGCCCAAATCAACTCTCTACTTATATTAATTTTGCCTCAGCTTCTTCCTTTTAGGCTGACATACGTGATGTAAGACAGCAGGATTCAGAATGTCTCCCCTCAATCACCTGGTTTTTCTGAGAGTGGCGCTGGGAACCAGTGTGACACTCTCCATCTTCAGAGGTCTCATGTGGTGTTTTGTGTGAGGTCTCCTGAAATTGGAACTCCCATTCTTTGGCTGAACATCTAGATTTTACTTGGACTGTTTTTCAAACTCCCTCTTTCCTTTAAGAGTGAGGGCTTTGCTGTCTTTGGACAAGAGACTGGGGTGAAGAGTTCCGCAGACAACTGCCTTCTTTCTGCCTCTGCCTCAGGGCCAGGATTTTGGGTCAAGGTTTTTCCACCTCTGCTCATGGCAGAGGTTTGGGATAAAGGACTGGCAGATACTGGTGGTTACGTTTTATAGAGCATGCTTTTAAGATTGCAGCTGTTTTCTATCATTTGAAAATCTGGGCTTAGCCTTTCATTTGTGACCAACTCCTGTTAGTTTCCTACTGAAAAGCACACAGCCCTTTTGCTCCTCCAGATGGGTGTGAGGGTCTGGTCCCCCGTACCCTGCTTGAGCACTCCCGTCCCCTGGCAGTTAGGGACAGTCCAAGTCACATCACACTTAGACCCTAAACACATTCCCAGCCATTTGTCACTTTTCAGAAGTTAGTAAATTATACAAAATTGGACTTTACAATCTGAGCAGTCTTTGTGGAAACATCAGCTGGATGTGTGTGCACTTAGGGGGCACTCTCTTACATTTAGAAAGTGGAGCCGCCTAACACAGGACAGTTGTGAGCAGCAGTAGCCAAAATGAGCATCCTTTAAGTGTCTAAAATAATTAATCTGTGTACCTAATTGGGGGAAAAGTTGGCTTTAGAACCAGAGAAACTAAATGGGAAACGTACTTTATGTTTGTGCTGAAATCTGATGATAAGATTTGAAAACATTCTTTTTCAGAGTTCTACGGTCAGAAGTATAAAAAGCTGATACTTTGGCTATTGTTTTTTTGGAAGGAAAAAAAAAGCCTTTCTGCTTTTTCCTCTTTTGGATCCTGTTTCTGGGAACTCTTTTCAGTCAACTGAAACTCACCTTAAAATGTGTTTGATCCCTGTTTGCTTCCTGTCTTGTTGGTATGATTTTTGTGGAGGAAAATACAAAACTTAATTTGCCTGTCAGAAAGCTTAAGATCTTCCTAAAATGGTTCCTCTGAGACTTGTTCTGTTTCCTTCCACACTTCTACTCCTTCTTTTTGCCATATTTGATACATGAAGAAATCTAGAGGACACTTCTAATGACTCTGAGACCCGCTTCGGAACACAGGAAGAGGCAACACTCACCCCCTTCTGGAAGGGTCTTCTGTTTTCAGTACGGAGTCTGAAGAGTTGTGAGTAGTTTCCTCTCAGGTCTAAAGCTCTGCTCCCTTTTGCATTGCGCTGTCCAATTTCGTGGTTTTCGGGGGCTTTCGGGATTACTTTACACTGTGAGAGAGACCCTGACTTTTGTGTGTGCAATGGCGGACAAGTCACTGGTGAAAGCTGCAGTTTGGGAAGTGGCTGACTGAATAGTTGTTACTGCAGGATGGCTACTGTTTCTTTACACATTTAGACAGATGCAGTTTGAACACTTGGAGGTTAGGAGAGTGCTCACCACCAAGTGATAAGATTCCCATATGGGATGGGCTGGTCACAGTGGGCTGACTGGGCCACTCACCAACCTTGAGGGAATGTCCTTGCAGTGAGAAGCACTGTGGAAGCTCTGCGTGGCAGGTGTTATGGCGTTTCCCTCCTTTGGGGGACCCAAGATTCAGTCTATTAATAAAAGTGGAATCCTTGATTTTTAAAGATGTAGATCAAGGGTGTCCAATCTTTGGCTTCCCTGGGCCACACTGATCTTGGGCCACACATAAAATACACTAACACTAATGACAGCTGATGAGATGCTTAAAAAAGAGAGAGAGAAAAGAAAAGAAAAAAAAATCGCAAAAAAAAAAAATCTTCATACTGTTTTAAGAACATTTACAAATTTGTGTTGGGCCGCATTCAAAGCCATCCCAGGCCGAGGGTAGGACAGGCTTGATCTAGATGCTCTGCCTTTCATCTGTGCCTGCTTTTCAAATTTAAGTATTAGGCCCTAGAAACTGCAAATGTTTTCTTTTTCCACTCATTAAAGTCAGTAATCTAACCAAGAAACATCTAGGTTGGAAGACCACCTATCTAACCAGACTGCTCTCCAATATATGACGTTCTATGGCCGAGCGCATTGGCTCACACCTGTAATCTCAGCACTTTGGGAGGCTGAGGCGGGCAGATCCCTTGAGCTCAAGAGGTCAAAACCAGCCTGGGCAACATGGAGAAACCTCGTCTTGACAAAAAAAAAAAAAAAAAATTCAAAAAAAAAAATTAGCGGGGCATGGTGGCGTGCGCCTGTGGTCCCAGCTACTCGGGAGGCATCACTTGAGCCTGGGAGGCAGAGGTTGCAGAGGTCACTGCACTCCAACCTGAATGGCAGTGAGACCCCATCAAAAACAAAAACACAAAATATGACTTTCTGACATTTAGCTAGCTATCCTGAACCTCTTTATAAAAGAAACTGACATCTGTAAGGGCATCTCCCTTCCTGCACTCAAGCCACTATAAACTTTTACAATGAAAAAAACATTGGCTTAAAGTTTACAGAGCAAACCTTCCCTTTGCTTGATGCTTTTCCTGGCAATTCCTGACTATCCCTTTTTGATTCAACAAATAATAGTGTTTAGATCTAAGTTCTCTGCCTTTGGGATGTAAGTTTTCACCTGAGAGTCATGTCTTTGGAAGTGAAAATTTAGGGTTGTCTAGCAATCTGAATTGTTTAGGGGAGTGGAACAGATAATTAAGAGACTGATAGTCTAAAGGAGGGGGGGAATTATTTTCACTAGCAAATGAAAAATCTTATAAAACTGTAAGATCTGCTTCTGTTAGTGCATCTGCATGTCTTTACTTTTATGTATCATATATATGTGATATTTCACTACCAAAATATATGAAACACCTCTAATTAACCAGCTTAAAGAAAACACAAGTGCTTAAATCAAATATTTCATCAGACAAATAGAAACTCAAATGTCTTTTAGTTCATGACTTGGGTAGATCTTTGGTAAATAAAGATTAGTTTGTTGGTTTAATGAAAGGAGCTATGTCTTCTCATCAGCAAATACTCATTCATTTAACTCTAGGGTTTCACAGGCTGTAGAAATGATTAACAAAGAAATAAATTGAGATGATGGCTAACTTTGTTTAATGAACTATTCAAGCATAATAACTGTTAAGAATGAATAAATTAGGGCCGGGTGCAGTGGCTCACGCCTGTAATCCCATCACTAGGAGTTCGAGACCAGCCAGGCCAATACAGTGAAACCCCCTCTCTACCAAAAATACAAAAATTAGCTGAGCATGGCAGCGCACGCCTGTAGTCCCAGCTACTTGGGACGCTGAGGTGGGAGTATCACTTAAACCCAGGAGGCTGACGTTGCAGTGAGTTGAGATCAAGCCACTGCACTCCAGCCTGGGTGACACAGTAAGGCTGGGTCTCAAAAAAAAATAAAAATAACGAAGAATAAATTAGATGAATGTAAATAAGATATTTATAAACAAACTTTTCATAGTTTCACAAACCCTTTTCAAAAATTTAATCTTAAAGCCATGTTATGTTAATTAACAGGTAATCATAAAATATCTATCTCATTTATAGGGTACAGAAAAGTTAAATATATTTAGGTTATAAACAAAATATATTTAGGTTATAAACAAAAATTGAGGAAATATTCAGAAATTGTTGTCATGTGGTATAAAACAGTTCAAAATTACTTCCTGGGTTTTTCACTGGAAATTCGAGTTACTAAGAGTTAAAATTGTAGTTAATATACGTAATTAAAACTATTAGGTATAAGAAACAATTTTATATACAGAGCATATTTTAAAAGATGTAAGGAAAGTTGAAAAGAGACTAATTGTTTTTCCCTTGTACACAGAGATCTTTGTATGGTCAAAATGATAAGGGGGAAAGGAAAGTAAGTTTTTCTCTTAAGGTAAAATGCCAATATAAAAAAGAAAGGTAGGTTGCAGTGAGCCGAGATCACGCCACTGCACTCCAGCCTGGGCTACAGAGGAAGACTCAGCCAAAAAAAAAAAAAAGTCGAGTGAGGCGTGGTGGCTCGCACCCGTAATCCCAGCACTTTGGGAGGCCAAGGTGGGTGGATCATGAGGTCAGGAGTTCAAGACCAACCTGACCAACATGGTGAAACCCCATCTCTACTAAAAACACAAAAATTAGCTGGGCATGGTGGCGCATGCCTGTAATCCCAGCCACTCGAGAGGCTGAGGCAAGAGAATTGCTTGAACCGAGACCCGGGAGGCGGACGTTGCAGTGAGCCGAGATCATGCCACTGCACTCCAGCCTGTGCTACAGAGGTAGACTCAGCGCCCCACCCGCCCCCACCGCCCACCCCCCAGCAAAGAAAAAAAAAAAAAAGAGGTATAGGTCAAAACCAAAGGCTTCAGCAAGTTGTAGACCATTTGTGGAAGATTAATCTTGTGAAAAAAAAATTGTGTGTAATCAAGCTTGCTAAATTAGAAGAGAATTATTTAGTTTTGCTAAAATTGAACATTAATATACAACGTACACAAATGCAGGGCCAGAGTCTGGGCCCCTGTGTCAGAACAGCAGACTTTTCTTGGAGCACTGGTCTGCTCTTTAAGAAAAAATTTTAAGTGGTTGTAAAAAGTTTATGGAAATTTTATCTTGCATGGTCCAAGCTGATTGAGATTTGATGGACAGTTTCATTAAAATAGCTTTATACTCAGGAGGCTGAGGTGGGAGGATCACTTGAGCCCAGGAGTTTGAGGCTGCAGCGAGCTATGATTACACCACTACACTCCACCCCAGGCAACAGAGCAGACCCTGTCTCCAGGGGAAAAAAAAATAAAAGGCTCTAGCACTGACAATATACTGATGCAAAGGTAAAATTTATTTTTCTCTTTTGAACAAGATGTTCATATAATATTAATGAGGATAACAAAAGACTTTTGCTCACCTTTTGAATAAGCTGGAAAAAAAAAGATTCTGTTGGTCTCATGTCGTCTTTTTAGGTCTTTTGATTGTTTAGAAAACTGAGTATCAAAAAAGAGAAAAAGTTTTTGTTTTTTTGGCCGGGTGCAGTGGCTCACACCTGTAATCCCAACACTTTGGGAGGCCAAGGTGGGTGGATCACGAGGTCAGGAGATCGAGACCATCCTGGCTAACACGGTGAAACCCCATCTCTACTAAAAATACAAACAATTAGCTGGATGTGGTGGTGGGCGCCTGTAGTCCCAGCTACTCAGGAGGCTGAGGCAAGAGAATAGCGACTCAGGAGGCTGAGGCAGGAGAATGGCGTGAACCCAGGAGGCGGAGGTTGCAGTGAGCCCAGATGGCGCCACTGCATTCCAGCCTGGGAGACAGAGCGAGACTCCGCCTCAAAAAAAAAAAAAAAAAAGGTTTTTGCTTTTTGAAATATTTCAATTATCTGGCTAAATGACTATTATTTTACAGCAACCTGTGATTCTGTTTTGAACAACATCCTTTTCAATATTTGACACATTTCCCAAAATCAACTTTCAAATTCTAAAATTAAGTCTTTTCCAAAAGGAACCCCCTGGAAGTCCGAGAGAGACCTATTAGGCTTAATTGGTATGTTAAAATTGTATGTGAAGCTTTGTCAAATAAGAAATGGTGTTTAACTTTGGGTTATATTTGTGTGCATGGTATTAATGTGTGTTCCAACGTTACATGAGATTTCTGAAATCCTGATATGTCTTGATATGTCAGACATAATTATGGTTATTATGTTAAATTGTTGTATGCCACAAAAATAACCAAATTTCCTTGTAAATTGTGTCTTTAACTGTAGCTACTCTAAGTCTTTTGGCATCCACAGACAATTATTGTTCTACTTTGACTCTTCTCAAAAAGTAGTTTACACTTGGCTACAGTCAAAAATTTGCTTTTTCTTCAAGGGAATTCATGGAAAATAATTTTTTTTTTAAGAGACAAGGTCTTGGCTGGGCGCGATGGCTCATGCCTGTAATCCCATCACTTTGGGAGGCCAAGGCAGGCAGATCACCTGAGGTCAGGAGTTCGAGACCAGCCTGACCAACACGGAGAAACCCCATCTCTACTAAAAATACAAAACTAGCCAGGCGTGGTGGCGCATGCCTGTAATCCCAGATACTTGGGAGGCCGTGGCAGGAGAATCACTTGAATCTGTGAGGTGGAGGTTGCAGTGAGCCGAGATCACGCCATTGCACTCCAGCCTGGGCAACAAGAGTGAAACTCCGTCTCAAAACAAACAAATAAATAAAGAGACAAGGTCTTGCTCTGTTGTGCAGATTAGAGTGCAGTGGCACTTTCTAACTCACTACAACCTCAAACTCCTGGACCTAAGTGATCCTCCCACCTCAGCCTCCCAAGTAGCTACAACTATAAGCACACACCACCACACCTGGCTAATTTTTCTATTTTTTGTCGAGATGGGGGTCTTGCTATGTTGGCCAGGCTGGTCTTGAACTCATGGCCTCAAGCGATCCTCCCTTCTTGGCCTCCTAAAGTGCTGAGATTATAGCTATGAGCCACTGCGCCAGGTGGTAAGTACTCTTGAATACAAGTTTCTGATAATTTTGAAGACCATTATCATTGGAGTAAGTAAAAACTTTCAGAACTCTAATAAACTGTTGTGTTCATGATGATTGCTAACTCTGTATATCAAGCAGAATAAAACTTAATTACATGGGACTGAAATTACAGATGACTGAAATGATTTTGACGACTTTTTGTTTGAAACATTGCTGATTCTTTTCATGTTTTGTTTTCCCAAGTCGAGGAAGCTTTTTTCTTTCAAGCTTTTTATAGCTTGTAGCAAATGGGTAAAACATAACTTTATGAGCAAGACTGAAACATTCACCTTACTCTCTACCTTATTTCTCCAAAATGTATAAACTATTCATGAGTACTCTTATTTTATGACAGTCTAATTATATGCGTTTTAAGTTCAATAAAAACCGGTTTATTGTAACAGGACACAATTAAGACACTGGTTATTCTACCGACACTCTTGACTGGAATGGCGTATTTTAAGATATGACCAGACTGGTTTAAAGAACAGAGGTTGACTATGTAGAGCCAATAAAAAGCCTGTTGGAAAGACTAGCCTGGTACCTTGTTTACATGGCTCCTTTACAAGGTTCCTGATGTGCAGCAAGTAAAACAATCTTACTTTCTGACAAGCCCAGGAACCTCAAGATATTTTGCGACCTCAAGAAGAGAGGAATTCACCCAATTCATGTAAGTATTACCAGCATAGTCCTTGGCTTGGCTTCCTAGCCTTGAGGCTTTATAGTTGAATCCAAAATTCCTTATGAAAGTTCCAGCAAAGACAACTTAAAGAACCTATATGGCCAATCATTATTCTTGTTGCATTTTATGCAAATAATCAGCCCAAGTATAATACTAAAACTTATTTTGCAAGTAAGCTGGTCCTCCTAAGATTTATATCTTCAGTAAAAATGGGGACTGGAGAGAGAAAAAATTATGCTTCATAAGAAAACTATAGTACCCATGTTATTAGATTCCAGCCTTAACCATTGTGTTTGAGTTTTTATTGTTTTCCTACAATTTGGATTGAATCTCCAATGTAATAGGATTTTTACTATGTATTTTATTGTTTTACCTCTAAGAAAACCAAAAGCATGAAATTCAAAGACTACAGAAGATTTAACAAGCAATGACAGTTACATAAATCAGTGACTTGACTGAGGGCTGAGAATGAGCCTTCCCAGCACCGTCATACATCATCCCATCATAAAAATCCACTTGTAACTGCCGCTGAGCAACTTGGTCTATGCTCCTGGGTTGCAATCATCATGCTTGGCCCAAATAAACTCTTCACTCAGCTTCTTCATTTTAGGTCAACACTAACATCACAAAAAGAGTTTCAGACAGGCCGGGGATGATGGCACATGCCTGTAATCCCAGTGCTTTTGAAGGCCAAGGCAGGAGGATTGCTTGAGCCCAGGAGTTTGAGACCAGCCTGTGCAACAAGATGAAAACCCATCTCTACAAAAAAATACAAAAATTAACCAGGTGTGGTGGCACGTGCCTGTAGTCCCAGCTACTCGGGAGGCTGAGGAGGGAGGACCGCTTGAGACTGGGAGGTCAAGACCACAATAAGCCAAGATCACGCCACTGCACTCCAGCCTGGCAACAGAGTGAGACCCTGTCTCAAAAAAAAAAAAAAAAAAAAAAAAGTTTCAGGCAAACTATAAGAATCAGCCATTGAAAATTCCTATCACTTCCAATGATTCTGAATTACTGTTCGGAAATGTAGATAACTTTACTCAATCTTGTAGCATAGGATATCTCTGGCTTCAAAGATAACCACAATGGGCCAGGTGCGGTGGCTCACGCCTGTAATCCCAGCACTTTGGGAGGCCGAGGTGGGTGGATCACGAGGTCAGGAGATCGCAACCATCCTGGCTAACACGGTGAAACCCCATCTCTAATAAAAAAAAATACAAAAAAATTAGCTGGGCGTGGTGGCGGGCGCCTGTAGTCCCAGCTACTAGGGAGGCTGAGGCAGGAGAATGGCGTGAACCCGAGAGGCGGAGTTTGCAGTGAGCGGAGATCAAGCCACTGCACTCCAGCCTGGGCAACTGAGTGAGACTCCGTCTCAAAAAAAAGA